>NC_000009.12:62249738-62549738 GCF_000001405.40 Homo sapiens
GAATTCTTTCAAGTTTTTCAAAGTGTTATGGTTAAGTCTAAATAGGAACTATACTTAAATTACTTTAGATTGTTTAGAATGAAAAATTATTTTTAATTTATCCAATGTTTATTTTATGTGTTCAGCATTCTGATGATTCTTTGAGAAGGAAAATAGTATAAATAGTTGAACATATTTAAAAACATCCACATTGATCACAATTATACATAATTTTTTAAAGTTCTTTTGATTTTTTGCTATGCTTTGTTAATTAATTGATTAATTGTACTGCAATTATAGCCATAATTGGAATAGGAACTGGACTGTATATAGTTTGACAGGTAGAGAAGTAATATTGTAAGATGAGAAGGAAAGGTAACAAATAGTTAAATGTGAGATAACTTGTATAATGGAATTTAAAAATTGTAATTAAATTTAGAAGTAAAATAAATGCTGACATAGATAAATGTGGTAAGAAACATAGAGCAATTTTCAGCAGTATGGACTTATCTTAAAACTGGCAAATGGATACCATCATTTTAAAACATTAATTAGAACTTTGGATCTGCTTTCCCCCATGCCCTATTAGTAGTAAATTCCTTATTGGCTCCCTTTTAGTATGTACATGCCAGTTTAATAATTTCAAAACCCCTGGAGTTTTTTTCATTTCAAACTTATTTTGATTGTTCTAAATGATAAGCAGAGAGAATCAGTCTTTCCTGGTTATTGCTTCCTTTTGTCACATGAGGTCTGTATCCAGAGCCACATATATTTTCTCGAGGTCTTCTTGGGGCACATTTGACCCTATGTCCTCCGCACATGAACAATAAAATTAGTTATCAACTAACATTCATATGACTTACCATGTTTCTCCAAATCATAGCCAGCCCGTGTGCCTGTACTTGAGTCAAGAGCCTCAGCACATCACCGGCTGAAGTTAATTTTAAGTGCAGGGCTTTTCCAAGCTGTGCAGCCTTGTTTGGTATGAAATTTCCACTTAATAAGGTTTTCTTAACTAGACTGTTTGAATACTTTTCCTCAGAGTTCTTGAACTCATTGTGCAAATTTTTCCACTTTTCATCTTCTATTAGGTCAGCGTACAATGCACTCACAAAATCAAAGTTTATTGTCACGTCTTAATTCTAGGATGGAATTCTAGGTGTCTGCCTTCTCTACATTTGCATAAAAAAAGAGGACATTTGGGGAAGACATAAATACAAACAAAAAACAAAACACAAAAGTTAAGTTAAAAATGATAACAATTTGCAAAAGTAGCTTATTTGAAAATAAAACTATAATTATTTAAGGATATTCTAAACCAATTTGCAATGTCAATTTGTTGAAGAAGACCATATTTTTATATATTAAGATTTATAGAAGTTAAAATTTTTATCTGAGCAATTCAATATATTTTTATGATAATAAATTATATAAATTCCAGCAGAAAATCATATTAGATGATTATGGTTTATTTAAGGATTCTAGTAAAATCTTTAACATAGAAAAATACTCATATTGGTATACGTACAGAACATAGTCATCTACCATTCATAGTTCAAGCTGGAGCTATTAAGAATATTAGATTGGATAACTCAATATCAACATTGATATCCATTGTAAATATATACAATAGAAGCCACTAATCTTACCAAAAAGATATAAAATTACTGAAATTTTTTACAAACAAGCTTTCATAATAATATTTATTTTCTGGGCTGTAGCATTAATTCTAAAAAATGACAAAAATTTGTAAGAAAACATATGACATAATTTTGACCTATTGAAATATTATTGAATGTGCTATTAATACAATAGTCATGAAAACCGTTATACAAAAACAAAGTGTTGTTCATGGCATTTACAGAGAACACATTGGTATGACTCCTTCAGGGTATTTATAATAAGTATGAAGCAAGATTTGACTGAGAATACTGAAGAAAACATTCACTTAATTTTTTGAAACAGCTCTGAATAGATGAATAGCATTTATTTAGGTTCTTTATTCTCTTTTGCTTCCTTTCTCCTTTCCTTCTTTTCTGTCATAGATGAGCCAGGCAAGTAACCCAAATGCATGATATGGACTAGGTGTAATAAAACTAAGCAGTGGAGAAATTGTGGTAAAATGAAGCATCTGAACTTTCTTGTGAAGATCAGCTTCTTAAGTCTATTCAGTGTAAACTGCCTCCACCTTATTTGATGTTTATCAAGATAAACCAAAAATACAAGATTGGAGAATTAAATATTGAAATAGTCAACTATGGGAATGTTCTCAATTAAAAAACAAGGAAGCAAGCAAACAAACAAACAAAAAACACATTGTGCTGGCCAACACTGTGAAAGCTAAAGTAACTCTGGAAATGTATTTGGATCAGTTACTGTAAATTTATAATTTTCCTTTAGGAAGTAGACAGTAGGATAAACCATTGAAATGTTTCTTTCTTGTTTTGATGTAGTTCCAATACTTACTAAATATGTGGCTTGGACATGTTAGCTTCTTTATTTTTAAAACAGAACAAAAATAGACATCATATTGATTTGAATACTAAATAGGATAGAAGTAATAAACCATATATGGCAATGCTTAGTACATTAGTAAACACTTGATAAATAAGTGGTAGCTATTATTATTGCTTGCCAAATAACTTTACAGAGGTGTCCAAAAATTCAAAATCCCACATGTCCTCAGAGTTATTTCTGCTTGCCAGGTGTCCCTGCTTAGAAATTAATAGGAAGTACACACCAAAATTTGACATTTAGATGTTTCATTCCACTTATTTGTCTTCTAGTTTAAAAATACTTATGAGAATTCTTTATATTTTTTAAAAAAATGTTAAATGATGAATAACAAAACAAAATAGAAAGCGTTATTTAATGAATTCAAATTCACAAAACCGCTTCTTATCCTAAAATATCTTAGATAGTTCTCATACTGCCCTCCTTAATAAACTCTACTTTCTTGCTCTGCAGATAATCACCTGCCTATGTTTCATTTATTTTTCCTGTGTTTCATGTTGATGATTCCTATGCATTTTTACTTTCTTCTACTATTCAATTATGAATTCTAAAATAAATGTGACATTTTTGCCTGTTTTTAACTCTAAATAGTTTTATAATTTCATTATACCATGACCTAATATTTGATTCAAACTTGAGTGGTTCGTAATATTAATTTGTATTAATTATCAGTGATGTACTATATCCCACTGTATAACAATAGCTTGAATTATATTTTGATTCTCTACTGATAGATATATAGGTCAAATCTAGGGTTTAAAGAAAATCCCAACACTGCTGCTATAAGCACTCTTACATGTTTCACTGTGTATGCATGTGTGAGAATTTTTCCACAATATATACTCAGAGGTACCCTTGCTGGATCAAGAGCAACTGTGCATTTTCACATTTTAGGTACTTCCAAGTTTTCTCCAAAGTGGTTGTACAGTGTATGTTTACCAGCACTGTAAATGTAAATGAAATATATCTTTATTACCCTTGGTATTATCACACATTTTCTTATTTACCAGTCTAATCACTGGTGAGATGGAATCAGGATTGATAAACCTATTCATGATTCCTCTTTTCTTTCTTCAAATTGCCTTATACTTAGGCTACTCTAATACTGGAATACTTTTCCTTATAATATCTTTCTTTATATTATCAACAGTTTTGAATGTTAATACTTTTTGCATTATAAACATCTTATTTTTTCTCCTATTAGCACTTTCCTATTTGTAATTGCATATTTTGAAGAATGGTGTTTTACACTTGTCATCAACTTAATATTTTTATTCAAGTTTAGCTCTTCTTTAATCATGTTTATATCATTTGTTAGCCTAAGCTGATAAATACTCTACTGGATTACCTTCTAGAAGTTTTTAAGCATTTATTTTCTATCTAGTTTTTTCAGATATCAAATAATCCCTCATATATTATACATTTCCCATGAAGTTTTTATTTACACTGGATGAATTTGTAGTTCTTTAACCATGTGAAACATTTCATTATGAAATATTTCAATAAAAATATGATGTATAACTTTTATCAATATGTTTTTGTTCATTCTTGCATATATTAGTTTTTTTGGCTATTAAATTTTCTAAGTGGAAACTTTTTGGTAAGATTTTTCTTTCTGGTTTAACTGGCTATCTGATCGAAAAACAACCAAAATATCTCCAGATGGATTAAAGAATTACACACAAAAATACAACTTTAGTGAAGTAGATCCATATGTTATCAAATAGCTTAAAACTAACTTTTGAAAAAAAAGTCAATGTGACTACTTAAAAATTTTGTTGGGCCGGGCGCGGTCGCTCACGCCTGTAATCCCAGCACTTTGGGAGGCCGAGGCGGGTGGATCATGAGGTCAGGAGATCGAGACCATCCTGGCTAACAAGGTGAAACCCCGTCTCTACTAAATATACAAAAAATTAGCCGGGCGCGGTGGCGGGCGCCTGTAGTCCCAGCTACTCGGGAGGCTGAGGCAGGAGAATGGCGTGAACCTGGGAAGCGGAGCTTGCAGTGAGCCGAGATTGCGCCACTGCAGTCCGCAGTCTGGCCTGGGCGACAGAGCGAGACTCCGTCTCAAAAAAAAAAAAAAAAAAAAAAAAAAATTTTTGTTCAGATAATTGCAGGGATACCAGTTTGAAATAATCTAACTTAAAATCATACATTTATGTACATAAAAATAAATTTGGTATCAATGAAAACACTAAATCTAGAAAACAATCTAACTTCTGAAATTATTCTAAAATAGTATAAGAATATATTTTATACATGCTTGTAATGTAGGAAGGGCTCTTTAAAAGTGTGACACAATTCATAAAGGAAAAAATGTTTAAAGATAAATACTGATTAATTCACTATTAAGCCAGATTCAGGTAACCCTACTACTAATTTACACAATTACATAGTGAATCTTTGAGGCTTAGATGCTAATATATATGAAGTAACTAAAATAAAAACTAATAAATTCCTTGTAATTGGTTTGCATTTATTTCAGCAGAAATGATATATTACTATTTTATTTATAATTATAAAAGCATGTGTTAATTTTCAGTATGCTATTCTGTAAGTGAAAGTATGTTTGAAAATTGTAATGGTGGAGAAAAATTTAGCTGCACTCTACTTAAAACTAAACATACACACATTACAGATAGAGTCCAATGAGTTTTTAAGAAATTTATTGAGCTATAATTAACATATTAAAAGCCAAAAATATGTAAGATAAATTATTAGATATGCTCTGACATATTTATACATCCGTGAGATCATCATTATTGTCAAGATAGTGAACATATAAATCCACAAAATGTTTCCTCATGACTACTTTTAATAATCCCCTTTTGCAATTATTGTCTCTCCTAATAAGCATCTTAGCTAGACAACTGCTGACCATCTTTCAGTATTGTATATTACTGTATATTGTATATTGGTGCATCCAGAAGTTTTATATAAATGGAATCATATAAGGTGCACTATTTTTTGGCTGGCATTTTTGCTTTACAGCAAAATTCTTTTGAAATTCATTCATGTTGTTGCATGTGTCAGTAGTCGAACCTTTTTATTGCTGAGCAGAATTTTGCTGTACGTATATATCACCAATTACTTGTTAATGAATATGTGGGTCATGACCACATTTTAGCTATTAAAGAGAAAATGCCTATGAATATTTATATACAACAATTTCTTTTTCATTTTTCGAGGGGGAAATATCTAGAAGATAAATGACTAGATTAAGTGGTAAGCATAGGTTTACTTTTTTAAGAAGCTGTCAATCTATCTATTTTACAAAGTGGTTGTCAATCAAAAGTATATTAACGTTTCAGTTCCTCCATTTTGTTGCATATACCTGGTAGGGTCAATATTTTTTTTCACTTTGGACATTGTAATAACTATCAGTAGTATTTCTTTGTGGTTTTCAATTCTTTAATGACTACAGATGTTAAAATTTTTTGATATACTTATTTGTCATCCATGTCTTCTATCATGACGTCTTTTTCAATCTTTTGCCTTTTAAAAAATTGGGTGATTTGTTTTATTTTTGATTTTTGACAGCTTTTATATATTCTTTATGAAAGTAATTTATTAGTGTGTTGGGGCTCCTTATGACCACCCTTAGGCTCAAAGATTAACTATAATGATTCACAGGTCTTAGAAAACACATTACATTCATAGTTACAGTTTACTACAATGAAAAGATACAGATTAAAATCAACAAAGAAAAAAAGCCCATGGGGAGAAATGTAGAAGATATCAGGTACAAGCTTTCAGGTGTCCTCTCCCAGTGGAATCCCATAAGAACACACGTAATTCTCCCAGCAACAATATTTGACAGCATATTGAAGTGTTGTCAATCAGAGAAGCTCATTTAAGTTTTGGTCTCCAGGGCTTTTACTGGGCATCAGTCATGTAAGGTGGTGCCTATATGAGTGATTTCAGCTACTCAGACTACAGCATCTGTCAGAGAAAATATAGCCATTGACTCTAAATTATATTGTTAGGATAAGCTTATCTGTTCAAATGAGCACAGCATGGTCCAAGGCCTCAGACGCTGAAAACCACTTGTGCACTGTACTCTAAAGCCAAAGATGTATAGAAACACTGTCAACAGGCAGAATATATTAAGGGCCCACAGGTTATCTTCCAAAAGCCAGCCAAGTGCCAGTTCTAAAGACAAACATTAGTCCTGATGAGATAAACCTTTCTTGGCCAATAAGATATATGCTATTCAAATGTTTTCTCAGTTCATAGTTTTTAAAAAATTATTTTTAAATGCCCTTTTCCATTCCTATTAAGCATAGTATTGAAAGTTCTAGCCAAGGCAATCAGGCAAGAGAAAGCAATAAAGCGTATTCAAACAGGAAGAGAGGAAGTCAAATTGTCTCTGTTTGCAGATGACAAGATTGTATATTTAGAAAACCCCATCGTCTCAGCTTATCTCCTTAAGCTGATAAGCAACTTCAGCAAAATCTCAGGATTCAAAATCAATGTGCAAAAATAACAAGCATTCCTATACAACAACAACAGACAAACAGAGAGCCAAATCATGAGTGAACTCCTATTCACAATTGCTACAAAGAGAATAAAATACCTAGGAAAACAACTTACAAGGGATGTGAAGGATCTCCTCAAGGAGAACTACAAACCACTGTTCAAGGAAATAGGAGAGGACACAAACAAATGGCAAACTATTCCATGCTCATGGATAGGAAGAATCAATATGAAAATGTCCATACTGCTGAAGTAATTTATAAATTCAATGCTATCCCCATCAAACTACCATTGACTTTCTTCACAGAATTAGAAAAACCTACTTTAAATTTCATACAAAACCAAAAAAGAGGTTGTATAGCCAAGACAATCCTAAGCAAAAAGAACAAAGCTGGAAGTATCATGCGACCTGACTTTAAAATATACTGCAAGGCTACAGTAACCAAAACAGCATGGTACTGGTACCAAAACAGTTATGTAGACCAACAGAACAGAACAGAGGCCTAAGAAATAAAGCCACACATCTACAGCCATCTGATCTTTGACAAACCTGACAAAAACAAGCAATGGGGAAAGGATTCCCTATTTAATAAATGGTATTGGGAAAACTGGGTAGTGGAAAACTGAAACTGGATCCCTTCCTTACATCTTATACAAAAATTCACCCAAGATGGATTGAAGCCTTAAACATAAGACCTAAAACTATAAAAACCTTAGCAGAACACCTAGGCAATACCATTCAGGACATAGGCATGGACAAAAACTTCATGACTACAACATCAAATGCATTGGCAACAAAAGCCAAAATTGATGAATGGGATCTAATTAAATTAAAGAGCTTCTGCACAGCAAAATAAACTATCATCAGAGTGAACAGGCAACCTACAGAATGGGAGAAAATTTTTGCAATCTATCCATCTGACAAAGGGCTAATATCCAGAATCTACAAAGAACTTAAACAAATTTGCAAGAAAAAATACAAACAACCCCATCGAAAAGTGGTCAAAGGATATGAACAGACACTTCTCAAAAGAAGACATTTATGCGGCCAAAAAACATGTGAAAAAAAAGCTCATCATCATTCGTCATTAGGGAAATGCAAATCAAAACCACAATGAGATACCATCTCACTCTGGTTAGAATGGTGATCATTAAAAAGTCAGAAAACAACAGATGCTGGAGAGGATGTGGAGAAATAGGAACACTTTTACACTGTTGGTGAAAGTGTAAATTAGTTCAACCATTGTGGAAGACAGTGTGGTGATTCTTCAAGGATCTAGAACTAGAAATACCGTTTGACCCAGCAATCCCATTACTAAATAGAAAAAGGATTATGAATCATTCTAGTATAAAGACACATGCACACGTAGGTTTATTGCAGCACTGTTCACAATAGCAAAGACTTGGAACCAACACAAATGCCCATCAATCATAGACTGGATAAAGCAAATGTGGCACATATACACTATGGAACACTATGCAGCCATAAAAAAGGATGAGTTCATGTCCTTTGCAGGGACATGGATAAAGCTGGAAATGATCATTCTCAGCAAACTAACACAGGAACAGAAAACCAAACACCGCATGTTCTCACTCATAATTGGGAGCTGAAAAATTAGAACACATGGACACAGGGAAGGGAACATCACACACTGGGGCCTGTCAGGGGGTGGGGGGCTTGGGGAGGGATAGCATTAGGAGAAATACCTAAAATAGATGATGGGTTGAAGGGTGCAGCAAACCACCATGGCATGTATATACCTATGTAACAAACCTACACATTCTGCACATTCTGAACTTAAAGTATAATAATTTTTAAAAAAGAGTAAAAATTTTCACTTTTGAAGAAGTTCAAGTTAATATTTTATTTTACATATTAAATGTTTAATGTCATATACAGCACTTATTTGTTTCAACTAAGGTCACAAAGATTTATCTTATGTTTATATCTAAGATTTCAATACATTCAGGTTGGCTTTTTATTAATGTTTATATATTTTGCAAGCTATGAATCAAATTTGTTTTTCTATTGCTTATAAATACCCAACTGTTTTACATTTCTTGCTTTGAAAACTCTTCCATTTCTTCAAAGCTGATACTTTCCCTGATGAATTGACTTGCTATTTAAAAAAAAAGATTTTAACTATATGTATAAATCTGTTTTTGTATTTTCTATTCTGTTCTGTTGATCTATTTAGTCTTTCTTGAGGACAATATCACACAGTCTTGACTATTTCAAAATCATGAACATGGTATATCTCCCCAAATTTTATCTTTTATTTGAGATATCTGGAAAGCATATAGGTCTAGAAGTTGAAATTTGTTCTACCTATATTAGTTAGTCTTCAAGTAGAAATGATGATGGAAAAGATTGCAGTGATCAAAATTACCTAGGGAGAATGTATAGCATGAAAGAGTAATAAGCAGTTCATGCAGATCTCTGATTTAGCTTACACACCTAGAGGAAGATTAAATGAAGATCAATTTGCAAGTGAATTTAAACTTTTGTGACAAAATTTTAGGAGCAAAATTAGGACACCGTGGTGTTACAGAATCTAAAGAACTATTTTGAGCTGCTTTTGAAAAATAAACATAAAAGTTACCAATCTGTATGACTGACTTTTGCAACACTTTCTCATTGAAAACACATATTCTACAAAAAAACATTATTTTTGTAACCTTATCATTTGGGACTCACTTTATCTAGCAGATCTAAGTACTTATACGTTTTTACGTATGTTCCCATCTATAAATTATCTGTTATATTGTCAATGACATTTTCTTCTTCTAATAAAAGCATGCTCAATTTTAACTATTTGTCTTAACTTATTTTGGAGATTCAAGGTACATTTTGTTGTTGTTTTTATTATTTTATTTTATTTTACTTTAATTTCTGGGATACATATGCAGAATTTGCAGGTTTGTTACATAGGTATACATGTGCCATGGTGGTTTGCTGCCCCTATCAAACCATCATCTAGGTTTTAAGCTGCATGCATTAGATATCAGTCCTGATGCTCTCCCTCCCCTTTCCCCCCACGCCCCAACAGGCCCCACTGTGTGTTGTTCCCCTCCCTGTGTCAATGTGTTCTCGTTGATCAACTCTCACTTATGAGTGAGAACATGAGGTGTTTGGGTTTCTGTTCCTGTGTTAGTTTGATGAGGATGGTGGTTTCCATGTTCCTACAAAGGATATGATCTAGTTCTTTAGATGGCTGCATAGTATTCCATGGTGTATATGTACCACATTTTCTTTATCTAGTCTATCACTGATGGGCATTTGGGTTGGTTCCATGTCTTTGCTATAATAAGTAGTATAGCTGCTGCAATAAACATATGTGTGCATGTGTCTTCATAATAGAATGATTTATATTCCTTTGGGTATATACCAAGTAATGTGACTACTGGGTCATGGGATTTCTGATTCTAGATCCATGAGGAATCTCCACACTGTCTTCCACAATGGTCGAACTAATTTTCATTCCCACCAACAGTGATTCAAGGTATTTTTGATGGTTTCTTTGTTTGTCTATTTTGCCTTTCATTTGTTTTTGTAAAGGGAGAAAATTTTGGGCTTAGGGAATACCATAATGCTTTAAACTTCGAGCTATTTCTTCTTTTTTTTCTCAAATAATGTCATTTTGTCATAGATCTCTGAAAATGACCTTGAAAACTTCCCATAAAAATCAACAGAACTTACGATGTTCAGAGCATAAGAAATAAATGTCACCTTCAAGATTCATCAAAATGAGCTTAGATGAAATTTTAATTGCCATACTCAAGCCACTTAAATAGTTAACCAAGACATTCTCCCTTGTTTCTACAGTGATACATAGTATTGAAAATTGCTTTGACTGCACACTCAAATTATTACAATTCAACTTTCTTCAACATCATAAATTGAAAGGATATCATGTGGATCTTTGTTGTTCCCAATTAGGATTGAAAATAACTTCTGGCCAAATTAGTAGTGTAGAGACTTATGGAATGAAGTCAATTTAAAACAGAATTTTTTTGAGTTAATGGTAAGAAAGAGTTTGTTGCAATAAAATTCTTTGAAATTTTAGATATGAAATTGGTACAAAAACTTAATACAAATTCATCTACCTGATTTTTTGTGGCAATGTCATAAATAAAAGAAATATGGTCTCATCTTTCCTAAATATTTTGCTCATGCTCTTTGACAATACCGTAAAATGTACTTAAACTACATAAGAATCTTCCAGTAAAATAAAATGCAACATTTCACTCAGAAGTAAAACATTTTTAAAATAGTGTCCAACAATTGCTTCAAGAGGGTGACAACTTATGAACACCCTGCTCTAAGTGTTTCCACCCTAATTGGTTTCTTTCTTTTTTTTTTTTTTTTTGAGACAAAACCTTGCTCTGTTACCCAAGCTGGAGTGCAGTGGTGTGACCTCGGCTCACTGCAACCTCCGCCTCCTGGGTCCAGCGGATTCTCCTGCCTCAGCCAACCAAGTAGCTGGGATTAGAAGCAACTGCCACAATGCCCAGTTAATTTTTGTGTTTTTTGTTTGTTTGTTTGTTTGCTTTAGTAGAAGTGGGTTTCACCATGTTGGCCAGGCTGGTCTCGAACTCCTGATTTCAAGTGATTGGACTCCCAAAGTGCTGGAATTACAGGCATAAGCCACCATGCCTGGCCTCCCCTAATTTGCTTCTTTAAACCTCTCTACATCATCACAAGATGGGTGTTACTATGATCACTATTTTACAGGTGAGCATATGAGGAACAGAGAGGTTAAGGAGGAACAGGGTGATCTGCTACAACTCTTCAGCAGGGCATTCTGGGCAGGACTGTCTAACTTGTGAGAGGCAAGGGGACTATTTATAGCCTATGTATTCCCGTTAAAGTAACAAACATATATCAAGAATAAATATTACAGTATATTTCTAGCAACCATCTAGAAATAGGAAATAGTATCAGTACCATATTGTCAGATGACAGTAGGATTAAATAAAACCGGAGTAACTAAGTAACTGACCCTTTATTCCCTGCATTTAAAAGAAAAGTATGTCTTGGAGTTGAATTAAGTAACCTGGGATAGATCTCTAAAAATCTGTAAGTGAAACAGGGGTCACATATTAACATGTTATACTAGAAACAGTGTCTAAGAGAGGAATTTGGCACTGGAATCTACATAGGGAACAATTAAATTATCCATAAATGTTTTTTACTTTATCTTGAAAAAGGTATAGTACCAAAAACTCCACAAACACTGCTAGACCCTCCATAATACGTGTGGGCTCTAAGATAAGAGTGGAAATAGAGGCCCACATAACATGTGTATAAATATTTTAACATTATAAAGCAAACTACTCCAATAATCTGGCCTGCATTTCCACCTAGGTTCTCAATGGCCCACTTCCTGACCACCACCCTCTGGAGTCCAAAGGAGATTTGCTTATTCCCAATGTTATTCCTGCAGGTCAGCCAAAGAGGAGCAAAGAGTCATCCACCTCAATCATGTTCAGGAAATGATCAGGTCAAGATGTGGAGTGAGCCAGCTTTTCTCTTTCGTGCCACATTTTCTGACCCAGCATTTCAAGGTACTTCTAATACACAAAGACTATTACAAGAGGGAGGAAAGAAGGAAGGTCAGTTATCTGAAGAACTGAGGCTAGCTAGAAGCCCAAATTTGGTGTGATGGGGGCCATCAAATCTCAACAGAAACAGCTTTCTCTCTCTGTTATCCTGGACAGGGCTTGTGATTTTTTTTTTTCCTCCACTCAGCCATAGACTCTCAGCTACATATCCTCTAGCCTGGAGTAGTCAAATCAGCTCATCTCTTTCTCTCTCATACCAAACTTTCAAAAACAAAACAAAACAAACCAAAAAACACTTTGTTATTGGAATAAATGAGAAAAATGTATTTGTGTTTAAATATCTGTGATACATGGACCATCAAAAGCCTCGCTGCTAATGAAGGCAATTATTTAGGTTTACTTAATCTATTAACTTATCAGTTAATAACTGCTATTTATTCTGCTAGAAATTCCCAATGGTATAATTGTTTCTGGCTGTAGCTCCTTCCATGCTTTGTACATCTTACTTGTGGTAGGCAGAATCACAGCTCTCCACAAATGATGTGATTTGGCTGTATCCCCACCCAAATCTCACCTTGAATTGTAATAATTCCATGTGAAGAATGGGGTCAGGTAGAGAGAATTTAATCATGGGGAAGGTTTATCCCATGCTGTTCTTGTGGTAGTAAATAAGTTTCACGAGATCTGCTGGGTTTATAAACGGGAGTTCTCCTGCACAAGCTCTCTTGCCTGCCACCACGTGGGATGCAACATTGCTTCTCATTCGCTTTCCACCATGATTTTGAGGGCTCACCAGCCATGTGGAACTATAAGTCAGTTAAACCTCTTTCTTTTATAAATTACCCAGTCTCAGCTGTGTCTTTATTAGCAGTGTGAGGACAAACTAATACAACGGGTGTCCACATTCTAGTCCCCAGAATTTGTGAATATGTTAGTTGCATGGCAAAGGAAAATTGAAATTGTAGACTAAACTAAGGTTGTTCGTCAGTTGATATTAAGATAGGAAAGTTATTCTGGATTATCCTGATGGGACCAAAATAATCAGAAGGACATTTACAAGTGGAAGGAGGCAGAAGAAGTTAGAGTGATGAGATGGGAACTCACAAACTGCCATTGCTGGCCCTTTAAAACAATTTAAATCTTGTTTTATGACACATAATTATTGTACATATTTATGGGATACAGTGTGATGTTTCAACACGTGTATGTATAGTTTAAATATTGAATCAGGATATTCAACATATTCTTCACTTCATACATCTTTGATATCTTTACGGTGAGAGAATTCAAAAATCCTCTCTTCTAGCTATTTTGAAATATACAATACAATATTGCTAACCATAGTCACCCTGACTCCATTCCTCATTTTAAAAATGGAGGAAGGGACAGTGATCAAAGGAGCAAGCAGCCTCTGGGCTGTGGAAAACCAAAGGAAACAAACTCTTCCCACAGACCCCCCCCCAAGAAAAAACCAACCCTGGCAGTATCTTGGTTTTACCATGGTGTGATCAAGTCAGATTTCTGTCTTACAGAACTGTAACATAATAAATCTGTATTGTTTAAGCTACTAAGTTTGAAGTAATTTTACTAAAACTTGAAAGGAATTTACATTTTGCTTTTAAAGTTCTTATTTTTGAAACTTTAGACAGAGATCAACAAATCCTCAACAAGAGATAGCTCAATTTTTACCTTTGCAAAAGGAATTATGTTACATATCTATGAGAATGAATAACTACAGCACAGAAAAATACTCATAAGTAATATATTATTTGAAATCAGGAGTCTAATAAGAGAAAATGCAAATGTACCCTTTTCTATAAGATTTAGATAAATTACATGAAAAAATATGTGTGATAAGAGGTATGTGTTCTGAGTTAATACATATAAAATCTGAAAAAATTGCAACAGGAACAATAAATATGGAAATTGAAATCACAAAAAAATCAATGAATTTGAAGACCATTTGGAGAAATGCTTATATCATCCTAAGATTAATTTATTCTAACCATGCACCAGTGATAGTATTATAAGAAGAAATAAATTCATTATCATTTTTTACTGTATTTATTTTTTAAGACAGAGATTGGTACTAATTCAGTAATGGAAAACTAATTGTAAAATTTGTACTGTGGTAAATTTGGAAAACAAGGCATGGCACAGAAAGAGTATATAATAAAATCATTTGGCATAAAGGCCATTTGAAATGGATTAATTATAGTGATGAAACATGTCATCATTTCCTGGACAAGTAGGGAAGATAGGCAATGAGAAGGCTATGGAGGAGAGAGAAGAGAGTAGAGTCCATAGAGTGACAGTCTTCAACAGGTTAAAAACCTGTACGAGTTCAGGTCTTGAACAAGCGATATTGGATGAAATGGGAGGTAGAGAGGACCAAAGAGTAGGATTTTTTTTTTTTTTTAATATTGAGAAACATTTGCTGTCTAAAATAGAGAAGAAATGTTATTAACATGCATGGTGGTCAAGAAACTGACAGGTAAGATTTGAAAGAGTTACCAGTTTGAGGTAAGCACAATAGAGAATAACGACAGAGTTTATAATGGAGAGAATGTCTTTGAAAGCCAAAAGCAAAAGTTGTCTTAATAGAGAAAGAAACCAAACAAAGGTTTGAAAAAGCATTTGAATGGAAAGTTTGGTGTAGACGTACGTTATGAACCATAAACTGTCAAAGTTTATTGGTGATGCTTGCTGGTTTATTTACTTGTTGGTTTTCAGAAGGAAAGAACTATAATAGACTGATAACTACAAATTAACTGAAATTGTATATACCCCGCCTCCTCATGATTAGGCAGGTGAAGATGGGGTGAGCAAAATAGTAGCAACCCATTGAAAGGGCTGTTGAAGGGGTTATATTTTCCAGACATATCAGGAGTTCAAGTTGTTATTAAAAATGCAAAAAGAGTTTGCTAATCAGAACATAAGCATTCAATATCTATCACTATCAAGTTGTGAGATAAGGGATAGGTAATTGATTCTGTTGGAAAAGCAGAGTCATACAATGATGACAGTCTGATAATACCTCTGTGACTTGAAAGTGACAGAAGTAAACAGGAACATGAAGCAAAGAGTTTTAGTTCTGATAGTCTCTTTGAGGAGGAGGAATAATGGCACTATTGTCATTTTTTGAATATTTCCCCTAGTATTTTTAGGGATTTCACAAATCGTTCTAATGCCTTAAAGGACTACCACTCTGGAACATCGCTCAAAGCAATGTTCTTGTGAGGATTAGGCTTAATGAAAAGTCCTGTAATGCTTGGACACATGGAAAGCTGACCAGTATTAGATAAAACAAAATTGTTATAGTTGGGAATTATTACTATACATATTTTCATCATCATTTTGCAACATTTATAATTTTTTCTTAATGAAATATGTTGATTTTTCAGTGTTTTTAAAGTAAAATTGTATTACATTTAAAAAATTAATAGAGAACTATTCTGTTGAAGACAATGAATGCATATTATGCTTAACATGTTAATATGTGTTTCACATTATTTATAGATTTTGTCTACTGCATTGAAATTTGCTAGAATGCTGCATATGTAGAGCTTAATGTAATCACTTCCTAACTATAATCTCTGGAGCCAACCCAGTTACAATAAAATTAACTCTAATTTTGTGTCTTTTATTTGTTTCTACTTCTAGGTTAAATGTGGTTTGAGAAAAGTGTTTTAGAAAACTTTGAAAAATCACTGGCTTGTTAGAATGCATGTTCTATTAAAAGATATGAGTCCTATCTCCAGGTTACTTAAAATATTAGTTTTACTCCAAATTGTATTCTAGTTTCCCTATCTTTAAAATATGTTCATGAAACATTTCTCTTCTCTTATGAAGTTAAATGTTCTTTTAAGTTTGAAATTTATTAGAGAACTCTGATATATGATTTTTAAAAAATAACACTCTGAATTACTTTCTAAAATGGAAAGCAACCCTAAAACAAAAAGATATTACCAATATTCAGTTTTACCTCTGGCTTCAACTTATTTTTCTCTCAAGATCTTATTATTCTGTTCTCCAGCTACCCAAGGTGCGAAAAAGAAAGAAGGCCAAAGGGAAGAAGGTGGTGCTGACCCTTGCGGTCTTGAAAAAGCAGGAGACCATGAAAGTGGTGAATCTTCCATTTGAGAAATTTGGCACTGGACAGGACATTTTGGCATTGGACAGAACATCCAGCCCAAAAGGGACCTCACTTGCTTTGTCAAATGGCCCCATTATACTAGGTTGCAGCAGCAGAGAGCCATCCTCTATAAGCAGCTAGAAGTGCCTTCTGTGATTAGTCAGTTCACCAGGGCCTTGGACCACCAAACAGCTGCTCAATGGGGTAAGCTGGCTGGCAAGTACAGACCAGAGACAAAGCAAGAGAAGCAGCAGAGACTGTTGGCCTGGGCTGAGAAGAAAGCAAAGGAGACATCCCCACTGAGAGATCACCTGTCCTTTTAATGGGGGTTAACGCTGTCACCACCTTAGCGGAGAAAAAGAAGGATCAGCTGGTGATGACTGCACAGGACAGAGATCCCATTGAGTTGGTTGTCTTCCTGCCTGCCCTGTGTTGTAAACTGGGGGTTCCTTACTGCATTATCTAATGGAAGGCAAGCTTGAGACATCTAGGATTAAAAAACAAACAAACAAACAACAACTCTTAAAAATATTCTTTTAAGGTCTCTGGTTTTCCTAGGCAGAGGACCCTGCGGCCTTCCGCAGTGTTTGTGTCCCTGATTACTTGAGATTAGGGATTGGTGATGACTCTTAACGAGCATGCTGCCTTCAAGCATCTGTTTAACAAAGCACATCTTGCACCGCCCTTAATCCATTTAACCCTGAGTGGACACAGCACATGTTTCAGAGAGCACAGGGTTGGGGGTAAGGTCACAGATCAACAGGATCCCAAGGCAGAGGAATTTTTCTTAGTGCAGAACAAAATGAAAAGTCTCCCATGTCTACTTCTTTCTACACAGACACGGCAACCATCCGATTTCTCAATCTTTTCCCCACCTTTCCCGCCTTTCTATTCCACAAAGCCGCCATTGTCATCCTGGCCCGTTCTCAATGAGCTGTTGGGCACACCTCCCAGACCGGGTGGTGGCCGGGCAGAGGGGCTCCTCACTTCCCAGTAGGGGCGGCCGGGCAGAGGCGCCCCTCACCTCCCGGACGGGGCGGCTGGCCGGGCGGGGGTGCTGACCCCCCCCACCTCCCTCCCGGACGGGGCGGCTGGCCGGGCGGGGGGCTGACACCCCCACCTCCCTCCCGGACGGGGCGGCTGGCCGGGCAGAGGGGCTCCTCACTTCCCAGTAGGGGCGGCCGGGCAGAGGCGCTTGTTTATCTGCTGACCTTCCCTCCACTATTGTCCCATGACCCTGCCAAATCCCCCTCTGTGAGAAACACCCAAGAATTATCAATAAAAAAATAAAAAAAAAATAAAAAAATGCAGTCTCTAAATTTTGGGGGAGACTGATTTCAGTAATAAAACTCTAGTCTTCCAAAAAAAAAAAAAAAATTCTTTTAAAACTTCTAATTATTAGGTTTTTTTTTTTATCTCTTCAGTACATCAAAATGTCTGGTGGTAGGAAAATACTGGACTCATATATGACTGTCTACGTGATTTGCAGGGCCCAGTGCAAAATGAAGTGGATGTTGTACCTCGTTCAAAGTGTTAAGCGTTTCAAGATGGCAACAGCAGAGCATTAGGCCAAGTATGAGGTCATTATGTACATGGGTCCTTGTGTGACCACAGAGGTCACAGGAACATGAAGCTAGACCTGAGTGTATATTCAGATAGGTAAATCTTACAGATTTTTAAAACTCAATAAAAGAAAAACTACATTTCATGTGTGAACACAAAAATTGGAATTTAATTGGCAATAGCATTGGGATTTGTGCTCAGAGTCACAGTTTACATCTGACCACAATTTCTATATGAATTTTTTAAGATAAAACAGTAAGAATTTTAAAGAAGGTTTCTGAAATTTAAAAATTATAATAACATAATTAACTTTGATATTTTAATTCCATGTAATTTAAAACATTTAACAGATATATAATGTTCCACTATTAATTTAACTAGATGTATAAAAATAAAACATATATAATAAAAATATTCTACTTATTTTTAAATTATCTATATTATACTGAGTAAAAGAAAATTTAGGAATATAAATAAATGAGCATTTTTGAACATGTAAAAATATTTTCTTGCTGTTTTTAGGAGACTTTTAGCAGGACAGGAGCTTACCTCTCATCTACCTCTGCTTGGACAAACCAGTGATGTGATTTGCAAATAGGCTGTAACTTCACCGAAAACACATCACAGTAAAGAAAGGTAGTGACTTTCAGAGAATTTGACCTAACTTAGAATTTGTAAAAGAGAAAAGCATTGTCCTTATGCCTAAAGTACATGACTGTTTCTTTTTAAGTTACATGTATATTTACCTGACCAATTTGTTTTACTCTGTATTTTAAGTTATCAGGTGAAATGGTTTTGGAATAAATTAATGAGTTGTTTCTTCTGAATAAATGTGCATGTTACAAATGCAAACACGTGTATGTATTATACAACTATGCAGCTTCAAGAGCTGACTTATTTCTATCAGCTTTTTATTCCCTTAAAAAAATCAGGCTACTGAAGCATATTAGAATTTAATTACACCAATTAGTACTGCCACATCAGACATATGATGTGCCTTCAATTAAGAAGTACCTAATGGGTATTAGTACAATTTAGCTTCATAATTAAAGTTCTAAGAACAGCACAAATTAAACATTATGATTACAAAACATTAAAAATCTACTGGTGAAATTAAAGCTGAATATTTAACTTCTCCTTTTGAGCTGATTTTAAAAAAGAAAATCAGGATTATATAAAATGCAATGTTATTATTGAAGCATTCTGAATTTAAAAACAGAAATTAAGCTCACATGCCCATAAATATGTGCATATATAATGATTAAATATTTAGTAAAATACCCAACCTAACACTTGTGCCACCTAATAAGCATTAAAGGTTATCATTTTGGAGTTTCACTTGATTGGGTTTTGTTTTGTTTTGTTTTTTTCATAGAAATATTTGATATATGTGGTCACCACTCACAACTCTTGCTTCAGTGAGCATGGATGACAGGCAGCCCCAGCTACTGTTTTTCTGGTTGTATGACTATCTTTGCACTCAGACCATATTTTCTCTGGCTGTTCCTGGCCAATGACTGAGCATGCTCGGAGTATTGATGAAGGCCATTTTTAAGATTTGTGATAACCTTCCAACAGAAGACTTTGGACTGGAGACTCCTATTGTCCGGGCCAAAACTTCCTAAACTGTGTTTCAGGCTGTGACTCTTTCATTCTCATCCTTCTTCCCCTCCTTTGACAGAAGCCAGGCTTGCATCACTGAAGACTCCCTGCACTTAGATCTGCTTTTTCTTCTTAATCTTTAACTAACGTTCCTCTCATAACCTTTTGAGTGACTTATAATTGCATAGTATCAGCTTCTTGGAAAACCTGACTTGATAAACTATCCTATTTGAAATACAGATATATACGCATTTAACAATTTTTGACATTATTAGCACATTGAGTATTAAATAGTATCTGAAGAGAGATACCTTTAAAAATGAAAACACCTTCCTATTGGGGTTTTCTTCAAAACAAATAGATTATTTTTAAAAAGATTACAACTATAGCAACTTCAGTCTCTCCTGTTTTATCTACTAGAGTGATTTGCTTCCTCTGCCTTTCTTAAAGTGATTGGTTAAAATGTTTTAGCACTTAGCAGTTTCTTCCTAGTTTTGCAGCTATGGCCCTGAAATGGCTTATGAGTAAGGCAAATAGAAGATGTTCTTACTGGGCTAGTGCTTTTATTTCTCTCTTTCGCTTGTTCTATTTTTTAAGTGAAAATGGCATTAGCATCTTATTTGTCAGGCTTTCATTTTCGTGTTTGAGAATTCCACTTGTAGATAACCAATAGCTATAACCTGTTCAGGTCTTTAAAAAATATAGCTTATTGAATGAGCAGTCACACACAAGAAATTCCGTTCTTCCCATAGTCCATCATGCTTTACCCGTATTCAGCTTCTCACTTCTGTATCTAAAAACACTAGATTTTATCATTCTACTTTAAAGTTTCTTTTTTTTTTTTTTTTTTACTTTTCCTAAAATACTCAAATTTCCATAAAGGAACAAGGGATAAAGCTTAAGCATAACTTCAAAAGAGACATAAGCGGGGTGAACAAGATCCAGACACAGGCTCTCTTGATGTAAACATAGACCTTTAACCATGTGCAATCTGTCTATTAAGAAAATAGAGGACTCTAAACACAAAATTAAGAGTATAGTTGTCTCTGTGTGACTGAAAAAGAGTGAAAGATAACTGCAAAATTATTGATACTGTTCTTATGCTTAAATTGGGTTGTGTGCTTACATGTGTTCATTATGTTAATATGTCTCATAGGTTAGGTATCTTAATCAAATATGCAGTTATATAAATACAATACACTGAGATAAGATAACTAGCAACACATTGAAACAAAAAAACGAGAATAGGATTGAATACTGTCACGATCTTTACAAGGCCTGGCCTTTCACTATGTAAATAGATATCTTTTAGTCCAAGAAATCACAGAACTTACACATTTTTAGGAAAAGAAGAAAAAATTCATAGAATAAATTAATTTTATGTCCTGTAAGCAAAAGTCTACTAAGGTGAATTCATAATATCCCATAACAGCAAAAAAGAATGCATTCAGAAGTCCTAAATCTATAAACAATAAAAATAGTTAAGCACATAGAATTTACTTAAGTTCAAAAGCATCATGTTCATTAGACTTATATAATTCTTGTAGCATTTAGTACATCCTGGATAATTCTTATTCCCATTATTTATTGCTAAGCACATTGAAATTTCACATTAATAATATTATTATTTTTTAACTTTCATTTGTATTGTAACTGTTGGTTTTAACTGATGAAGATGCAAAACAAAAATAAACATTCAGGTAAATAACTATTGTCTAGAAAGATCCAACCTGTAAGCTAGCAATATGGTTTGATTCTTTCTTTTAAAGTTATGTTATTATAAGTATATAAGCAATTCAGATAATAGATCCTGGGTTATGATGCATATCCTATTTGCATAAGCTTAATATATTTTAAAGATAACCAAAAAAGATAATGTATAATTAAAACTATAAATAAACACATTACTCAACATAATTACTCCTTAAATATTCAGTCCATTTAATATAGGTCTTTGCTGCCGTAAATGAACTCCCATGAGCTTCTAGAGGACTCGTTTTATTAAATGTTATAGTCTCTGGCTCTGACCAATCATAGCGCTGTAGACACTGTTATAAACAATGTAATAAGCTGCTAAAAAAGCAAGAGGTATTTTTTATTTTTTTGTAATTTGATTTTATTATCATGTTTTCATACCCACACAAAATAATCAATACATTAACATACAACCATCACACATATTCAACAATTATCATAATTTTGTTGTTTCTGCTTAAGGTATCCCTGTTCTCTTCTTGCCAAATTATTTTAAAAATATATCTCAGAGTGTAATTTTATACCTACATACTTAAGGATACATCTCTAGAAAATGCAGATATTTAGTAATACATTTTTACACAGTTAATTTATTTTTCTTCAGGATCTCAATTCAAATATTGTTTGTTATTAAAAAACTGTCTCTAGCATATGTTTTACTATATATTTAAGAATATAATTTGGAAAAAAAAGTCTGACATATAGTCCATGTTCAATTTACCTCTTCAACTAATCTACTAAAAGGAAAAAAATGACACCAATACTTCTTACTCTTCCCTGAAGTTATGTTATGATATTTTTAGATTTTGAAATCCTGTAAAGTGTGCCCATTATTGGTTTCAAGTACATGTTTCCTAACTCATTTCAATCTCTTCTATAATCAAGTGCAAGAGAAAATATAAAATAGGCCCCATGATTGTAGAAATAAAAGTGGAAAAAACTAGCCTAGAGTTCATAAAAGTAGACATATAAAAATCTTAAAATGATAAAGGCCATAATCAATTAATTGAAATTAAAATTATTCCTTTGAGTTATTTTTGGGTATTCTTCCAATTTTAGTTTGTTTGTTTGTTTGTTTGATGTTGCAAATATCACAGTGTATGCCTTCTTTTTTTTTTTTTTTGAGACAGATTCTCACTCTGTCGCCCAGGCTAGAGTGCAGTGGCACGATCTCGGCTCACTGCAAGCTCCGCCTCCTGGGTTCACACCATTCTCCTGCTTCAGTCTCCCGAGTAGCTGGGACTACAGGCGCCCGCCACCACGCCCGGCTTATTTTTTGTATTTTTAGTAGAGATGGAGTTACACCGTGTTAGCCAGGATGGTCTCGATCTCCTGACCTCATGATCCGCCAGCCTCAGCCTCCCAAAGTGCTGGGATTACAGGTGTGAGCCACTGCGCCTGGCCAGTGTATGCCTTCTAAAAGCAGAGTCTGTAGTAAATATATATATAAATGGTAACACAAGCATATAAAATAAAATGTGGCAATTGCTATTCAATGAAAAATACAGGGACATTTGGGAGAGCATAACAAGGGAGTACATACGTGCTGAGATAAATACATTTTTGTTACATGAGTCAGGAGTTAAAGAAATAAATGAAAGATGAGAGATTAGGATATAGAGTATATAGGGTGCCAGTTCATATAACACTTTATATTAAAGGAATTTGAGCTTTTGGTTGAAACAATGGAAGCTATTGGGAGTTTTAAGGGGATTGATATGAAGGAGGTAAAATAGGAGTCTATAGCACTAATCTAAAGTGGTAAGTGAATGGAAGTCAAAGCTATTTAGTGGAGTAGGTTGAACCAAAATTGATGACTAAGTAGGTGGTATCTAAAGGAAAGGAAAAGTTTGAGTCTTGGGTATCTGGCATGCATAGTATACTAACAGTGATATACACAGTTACTTTCAGGCTCACTGAATGAGTAGTGGTCAATGAAACACAGAACAAAGTCATGCAATTCACTTTCAAGTTGTGTTCTTGAAACTTCCCATGGCACCCATGAAGATTTCAAGAGTCATTTGTTATTATATCCCATCTTGACTAATACCAAGTTGTTAGAAAAAAATGAAATACTATTGTAACAATAAGCTAAAATAAGTGGTATTGTCTTAACAATGAGAAAGAGCATGAGGAAACTTAAGATCATAGATGATGAAAACTGTTTCCCCTATCCCCACTCCCAAGAAGGGAGAGGTTGGGATTATACAAAGTGATTAATCTATGTGTTCTTCCCAGAAAAAAAAAAGGCAGAGTTTAATCAAATAACTTTTCCAACCTTTAGTATATGGTTCATTCAAACTGTCTGACCTGTAGTGTTTCAGAATTACCAATGGTCAGTGGTTTCTATGTACTATACCTTATATTTTGCCTTTCTAAATGGGCTATGAGCATTACATGTCTTAGCTCATTTATCTTTTAAATAACTTGAAGAAGCTAGTATTATTATAAGCTTGATTTTGCTGGTGAGAACATTGAGATGTAGAGATTCAGTGTAGCTAGTGTTTGGTATAACTATGATTTAAATTTAGTTCTGTCTTATTATAATATTAAACAAGTATGTGACTTCATAGTGTAATGAGTCTCATTCAAAACATACAGCAGTTGCAGCCTAACATCTTGTTACTTTAGGTGGTGACATAATGTATTGACTCATATTGAGCATTTCTAAGTGTAAGTTTTAAGTAGCTTTTTTTCTTTAGAAAGGTGCTGAAGATAATTCAAATACTTTTTTGCATATTATTTTGTGTCCCTGTAGATTGCTAGGACTATGAGGGCAGGGCCATATATATTGTGTTCATCTCTCTATATTCATTTTCTAATGCTGGTCCAAGAAACAGGTTGAGATGCTAAGTAGGGAGGCCATAGAAAACATCATTGAAAAGATAGCATTTATGCAAAAATTTAAAGGTGGTGAGGGATTAAACATGTAGATATCTGAAAGAAGGGAACCCAGGCAGAGGGAAAAGACGGTGCAAAAGCCCAAGACAGCCCCATATCTGGCTTGTTTGAAGGGGTTCAAGGAAACCAGTGTGGCTGGAGATGAGTGAGGAAGGGGAGTTAACGATGAGCACACAGAAGTAATTTGGGCCTTGATATACGTTTTTAATTTTTAAAAATATATATTATATTTAAATGACATAATAATTGTACATATTTACAGGGTATTTTAAAACTCACACTGCCTTAGAATTTTACCATCAATGAAAGAGAGGGTCACTACAGGTCCTAAGAAGAGAAGTGACACGCTCTTTTATGTAAAAAGGATGACTGTGGATATTGTGTTGGTAACTGACTGTAAGAGGACACTTTTAGGAAAAGTCCCCTCTTTAGATATTGACTTTATCCAAGAGGAAAACAGTAGTAATTCACACCTCAGTAGACATGGTGAGAAGTAGTTGATTCTACATATTATAAAGTCTTTGGGTTTAAGCAACCAGAGGAAGGACTTGCCATCAAATGAAATGGATAAGCATAAACAGGTTTGGTAGTAGCTGGGAGATGGAAATCAACAATTTCTCTTGAGTCATACTTTCTTTGAGATTTCCATTAGGTATCTGAAGTAATCAGAAACTAGCCAGGAAAACTGAAATCATTGAGAATTTAAAACAAAGGGAATTGATACAGGTAATTGATGGTAGAAATAACTTTAAAAAAATTAAAGCCAACCAGGGGACAGTGAGGCAACCTACAATTTAGCAACAATGGGAGGCTACTATCACCTTCCCTTGGAGAACAGGGATAGGAGGCTGTACTACTGGAGCTGCAGGGAGGGATATTTGGGGGAAGCTGGAACCACAGTGGGCCTATGTAAAGGAGCAGGAGCCTGTAAAAAATGTAACTGTTATTAGGGATGACAGGGAGAAAATGAGACAATATCTAGATTTCTCCTTGTTCCTGCCTTTCATCTTTCTACATGTGTCTCCTATTGTTTGAGCCTAACTGGAAGCCAGCTTTCAGAAAATCTGAGCTACATAATCCACAGTGTTCATCCCCTCTGTCTTATGAACTGAACTGGGCAGAGTGAGGAATGGGTTTCAGGAAAAATAGACCCATTATCATCACGACATTCAGGTGGAAGTGTAAAAAATGCAATTGGATTTATGCGTGTGGAATTTGGGATAGAGATATGGCATGGAAATATAAATTTGGGAGTCATTAGCATTTACACTGCATGTAAAACCACGAGATTGGATGAGATAACCAAGGAAAGAAGTACAGAGAAAGATGATGGTGGGGGGAAATAAAATACTGAGGCCTGGAGCATTCCAACATTGAGTCTGAGGAATAGAAGAAAACACTAAAAGAGAGAGAGAGAGAGAGAGGGAGACAGAGAGAGAGAGAAGTATACAAATAATATAAAACCAGGGAGTCAAATGAAGATAGTATTATGAGAATAATCTACTTCAAATGCTGCTGATAAATCAAGTAAGGTGAGAAAAATAACTATAAGATTAACAAAGTGGAGGACAGGTTTAATTAGAGTAGTGGGGGGCAAAAATCTGTATGGAAATGAAATGATTAAAGAGAAAATGCAAGGAGCAAATGACACGGTGACTATAAATTATCCTTTTAAAGAGTTTTGGTGAAAAAGGGATCAAATTCCCTGGTGGTATCTGACAATGAAAATGGGGAAAATGAAGAATACTGGTTGCTTATTTGCTTTTATTTTCTAGTATGACAGAAGTAATAGCTTATTTGTATGATCATGAAATGACCCAATAAAGAGGAAAATTTGATTATGTATAAGAGGGGTAAGTATTGAAAAGTATCTGTCTATAGCCTGTGTAGTCAGAAAGAGTTGATGAACAAGTAAAGGCGTAAGCTTGAGGTAGGTGTATAAACATTTCATTTCTGGCAGTGGTTTTCTTTAAGGAGAGATTTCACTCTGCAAGGAGCCAATTGGCAATGTTTGGAGATGTTTTCTGTTGTCACAACTTGTGAATGGAGTTACTACTAGCATCGAATTGGAGAGGCCAGGGATGTTGCTAAACATCCTGCAACATACAAGGCAACCTTTCCAACACCCCATCCCAAACATAGAATTATCTGGCTCAGTTTGTCCATAGTACCAGAGAAAAGACCCTGCTCTATTAATATGCAGGATGAGTAGTGTGTAATTTTAGATACTGGCGTTAAGTATATGTAGTAGTGGGAGTCTGCATACATTTCCTCTTGATTGTTATTTATCTATCTATGTATTTATTTTTTGACACAGGAAACAAGGTCATCAGCTGGCATTGAGATTGAAGAAAAGTATGTGAGGGGTGTGAAATGAGGAAAGAATCCATAAGTTAATCTTACATAAGAGGAAGAAGGCAATGGCTAACAAAAGAAAAATGGGCTTGTTTGGCCGCCTTAAAGGCACATTTGCTTTTCAAGGTTGTGGTTTTAAAGAGATAACAATCAACACAATTTTGTTGTGTGTTTTTCTCCCACTGCAGTTTGGGCATAAAAGCAATTCCAAAATTGATGGAGACATGCATGAAACTAAGGCTATCGTTTTGCTAAGTCAGTCATGTTTAGTAGATAGAAATTTATTTGATGACCAAGGATGGCACAAAATGTTTAAAAGACTGAATATGTGACATAATAAAGCACATTTATGAAACAGTAAATTGCTTTTCATAAAGGTGGATTATTTGATGTATCTTGAAGAAGAAATAACAACTGTGAATCAAATATTTATTTATGAAATTGGCAGAGAGTAAATGATTAAAGTTTTAATGATCAGATTGTCATTTTAGAGTAATTATCATTATACAACAGTGAAGAAAAGTTTGAAGAAGTTAAATTATAGAAAAAGGATGCTATTGTTTTAAATTAATGCACTGGTCTAGCTGTGATTTCATTAAGATGATTTCATAACTGTAACAGTAACAATAGGAATATTGAGGACAAGAATGTTGAGGACAGGAATTAAAGAGAAATTTATTGGTTGAAATAAATTAGGTTTTTAGATTCATTATGATTAATGTTTAAGAAGGAATATATAATTTCTAGTCAACATATAATAATGCAAATTTAACACATAAGAAATATTGATAGAAAAAGGGTTCTACCTTAAACATATTGCTAGACCATGTGAGAGAGTTCTGTAGAATAGATTCAAGAATGGTGTGGAAAGGGGTGGTACCTCCTGATCAATTTTCTCCCCTGATGGGGGCAGGTGTGGAGGAAAACTCCTGGGAAATAAAGAAGTCAGGTGTTCTGGTTTAATTTTTCTGCAAACATATTAATGCAAGTCTCTTAGAAAATAAACTAAATAGTTTTTGGTAGCCAAAGAATCATTCTTCATAAAATGTTTCTAGCAGACCATGCAGAGTTGTCTAAAATTGCTTATGAAAAATAAGCCAGGAATCAATAAATGTAGGGTGATGATTCCCAAGAAAATGTCACGTTAGCTGTGTTGCTATCTAAGTATAAAAGGAGATGGTTTGTAACTGAGAATACACCTGAGTAAGTAAAGCAACTGTACATTTTACTTAGAAACCAAATCTAGAAACTTGGATGAGACCACATTCAATGAAGATGAAAGGACACAGGTCTCTCCCCACTTAACCCATACATGATTATTTTATCTTTGAAATTATTCAGAAAGCATGATACTGAGCAAAATCTTCAATGTGAGTCCGATTTGACAATTCAATGCTTTTTGTGGGTTCAGATTGGCACTGAGAGCAGGATTGTCTTTTAGACCCACACACCAAAATAGTGAATGTTTTCTTTTTCTACCTGGGCTCCTTTTCAAAAGGAAATAATGGAAAAATATGAGAATTTGTTCTCAGGATAGTTGGCTGTACATTTTTGGTATGAGGTAGTGGAATCTTTGAGGCAGGTTAAGGGAAATAAGTCTTACCATTGAAATCTGGGGGCCATAGACTACAGTCTGGGAGTACGGGTCTAGGGAGTACATGGACAAAGGGAAATTGGGTGCAAATCCCATTGACTGACTCCTGCTAGCATACCTGTAAAAGCTAACCTTTTAATAGGTTAGTTTTTAATAGGAGGAGATGATAGTGGGAGAAAAAGCTGCGAGATTACATTTTATTCACTGGAAAACCTTCTTATCCCTCCCTGGTTTCTTGGAGAAATTTCATGTATCCTTAGAAATGACTCAAAATATTGATTATTGGACAAACTATTTATGTAACCGGAGTCCAAGGACAGGTGATGAGTGAAAACTATATTTTATTAAAGAACAGAGTATTCACTAACAGAAGACTGGTGAATTAACATTGGCATGGATTCTTCAAATTAATGATGGAGGACATGTTGCAATTCTATTATTATCTGATGCAAAGGACTATTCATGGTCATGGCTAATCATTAAATGGCTGTAAACTTTTGAGAAAACACTTCCAAATACTGTGACAGCATATCGGCTGCAGTTGTTAAGGTGAGATTTGTCAGTCCTATACTGAGAAGGGTAACTGCTACTACTCCTCTCCAAATTGCCAATTGGATTCTCCTTTTCACATGATAGGAATGATACAAGTGTAAATGTTGACAGGCTTTATATTTTCCAGAGAGAAAACACCTTAGTTAATGCTATTGATACAAATAATAAGAGATAGAGTGAATGGGATAAGCTAATGATTCTCTGTCTTACAAGACTTATATAACCTTGAGGGCCAAATATATATATTCAGAGAACAGTAACAAACATACAGGTTTAGTTACTATACATGGGATTATACGGAGAAAAAGCATTTATATCATGTGCACAACAGGGAGAAATTAAAAATCAGAAGAGAAAATAGAAAGGCAGCTCACTTGAATTAATTTACTTTTGAAGAAAATATAAATAGGATTTAAAAAGTAAGCCTTGATAGAATTTTTAATAAGAAAATAAAAGCACATTATCAACTTTTGAATCAGAGGAGAGGAGTACTGTAGCCCCCACCAATCCCTTAAAGAATCATAGAAAATTTGCTTTATTTATTGTGGCTGAAAGAGTTCAAATCCAATTATGAGGATAGTGATATAGAACAGAACATACTTGAACAGGGGGCTGAGTTTACTGCCTTAATTAAAGCCGTAGAATCTGAAAACAATTAAATAAAGAACTGAGGTCTGTTCATTCCAGCCCCAGTCATGGATCTGAGGCCATATATATAATTTGAACAAAGTTACCTGGGGTGGTATTCAAAGTTTCTTATCATTGGTAGGATGTAGAGCAGAATTTACAGTAGGCCTTATGGAAGGTAGGAAAGAGTCTCATACATGCTCTAAGTGAAATCTGGAGTGCATGAAGAGAACATCAGGGAGGAAACCAAGGTAAAGATGAAGTTACAGGTTGAAATGTGTGGTTGGAGAGAATATTACCTGCTTGTGCTACCTTTACATAAATACAAAATTGCAATTGTCATTCAGTATGAATGGGACATTGTCGTCTTTGTGTTTCCACAGAGGATGAAGACTGAGCTCACTCTTCACCAAATTTTAATCAGCTCTGCCAAATGGGATCCTTTGGAATTGCTCAAGCTCTCCACAGTAGTAAATATTAAGCAATGCAGAATTCCAAGGGCGCAATAAGAGACTACTGTTGTAATTAAGAAAATGGTTCAGAAGGAAGTTCCCCTCCCCACATTAACTTCCTTTTTGTAGTTCTAACTGGTCAATAAGTAGGTAGCCCCTGGACATTTACAGTAGAGTATCAAGGTGGTTCATTTGCGTGCTTCATCTGTACCTGATAGGATGAAGAATGTACAGAAAATAAAGTAGACAAGAGGCTCTGATATGTTATCAAGATTAACTACATAATTCATAGAGCTGAGTATAAAATGAAAATGCATGGATACTTACTCAAAAATTATTAAGAATTTCCAGATAGCTACAACAGAGCATTAAACCAATCTCAGGGGCCTCCTAAGAGTTTTTTTTTTTAAATTTCAAGTAGGAAAATTTTAAGCTTTGCAGAATAGAAACAAGTATATGTTTACTGTCTTATCATGGATTTAAAAAAAATTCATTATCACATTTCCATAATCTGGTAAAGAATAGCCTAAAAGATAGAGTTCATCTACTACTTTCATGGTATGATGATAATTTTCTTCTCAGAGCAAAAATTAGGAGAGGAGTTAAGGACCATAGTCACCTGTATTACAAATAGAAGCTGGCTGATAAATCCAGCTAGAATTTAAGGCACAGCCCAAGGTGCAAATTAATTCCTGGAAATTAGTACAGATCAACTTAGGACATTCCTTAAACTCCAACTAAATCCTATAAATTAGTGCAGATCAACTTAGGACATTCCTTAAACTGTGAGAAGTAATTTATATTTCATAGGACCCACCAATAAGCAATAAACTCAGAGACTGTCAAGACTGTTCTAAGAATCTTGTCTACCCATACTCACAAAATAACTGGAAAGAGTTCAGAACGTGAATACAGCATTGTAGTACTTTCCTAGGGCTGCTGGAACAAATTACCACAGACTGGGTAGCTTAAAACAACTGAAATTTATTATTTCACAGTTCTGGAGGCTAGAAGTCTGAAGCCAAGGAGTCAATAGGGTCACGCTTCCTTGAAAAGCCACAGAAAAAAATCTTTTCTTGCCCCTGCCTAGGTTCTACTCTCTCCTACAAATTTTTGGAGCTTTATTACTTATAGATTTATTACTCCAATTTCTGCTTTCATTTTCAATCTCTTCTCCATGTGTCCTCTCTTCTTATAAAAACACCTCCAGTCATTGGAATTAGGACCCTCCTTAATCTAGTAGGAGCTCATCTTAACTAATTGTATGTGCAAATTTCTAAAGAAGGTCACCTTCTGAGATTCTGAATGAATAATAATTTCAGAAGAGCACTACTTAACTCACTGCAGGTACTGAACAGAAATAAGCATGAAAAGTATCGTGGTAGGTGGTAGCACAGGCAATAACATTAGGCCCTTATGATCCCATCCAACTGGTCAGATGATATTAGGGCATACCCAAACTAGAGCCCTTTAGGAAAAGTTAAATGAGACCACCAATTTAGACTCCTTAGGATTTTGACTCAAAATATGCCTGTGGCAGCTGTTTGCTATAATCCATTTGAAAGACACATGCTGTTGCACTGAATGACACAGCCAATGTCAACAGGAAGGACCAGCTACATAACTTCTGTAACCCAGTGAAAAATGAAAAGCAAGGCCCCTTGCTCAAAAATTATTAAGGGTTCATTTAGTGAAACCATTGCGTCCTGAGACTAATATGAGAAATAAATAACAAAATCCACTGTGCCTTACTAATATCAAGAGGTAATAATGAGGGAGTGAAGGAGAATGCAATAATATATAACTTTATATCTTTCCCACCTCTAATACTTTTATTTGGCCTCTAATGGCGGTCTCAAACCCAGTTTTAAATTTACTTGCACCAGAGGAAGATTATACAATACCCAAGACATGATATTTGTGTCATTTAATTTGACTGTGCCTTTTCTGAAAGGTAATTTGTGGTGGATCAAAAGTTCCTTCCTATGTAACCAATTAGGGCTAAAGGTGAAGGTAGCTCCATTATCAAGCAGAGGAGAGACTTCTGAGGTCCTTTGTCTGTCACTTATAACATTTGTTTGACAACAAACCCCATGACACAAGTTTACCTGTGTAACAAATCTGCACATGTACCCATGAACTTAAAATAAAAGTTAAACAAACAAACAAATAAAACCCAAACATTTGTTTGGGTGTGCTAGTAAGGTTCTTGTTATTGATTGTGCGGGCAAACATTATGCATGATGAGTTATACAGCCTGATATTGGGAGGAAGCATTTGGAAATAGGGTAAAATCATAGCAGATGGGAAAGGTGTTTATAAGTAGATTACATTACCGTGGAGGGAAGCCACTACAATATTTTCATGCAAACAGCTCAGAGTGAGGATATCATACTTAACTATCTTTTGCTATTGTCATCCAAACAAATGGGCTTTGTTGGTGAAAATCTCTTGGCCTGCTTACTGCAGAAAAGGAAAATTGGACTCCTACTGATTTGGATGTTCTACCTGTATAATTTGAATAAAACAGATGACAAAGTGCCCCCTGACAACTCAGCTTGTGTGTAGTTGACTACAGTTATCACTCAGTTTCTAGGCTTTGTTTACCATTCTAGATTATTTTTTTCCAGAGAAACTACCAATGAATTGTACAGAGCAGAGGATGCTGTAGAATAGAATTTCTGCACCCTATATGGCCATAAATCAAAATGATACATTGCTAAGACAGCTCCCTGGTTATGATAGAAAGCAGATAGTGGCTGCCTGTCTGGTATGTCACAGCTTGATCTGGTCTGTTGCTTTGAACATATCAGTGTGAATGTAAATGGAATTAATTTAAATAATATAAAACTAGAACCTAGAAAGCCTCAGAGAATGTGATTTTATGTTTGCTTTAATGCTTTAAAATTATAAATAACTCCCTCAAGAGGTAAGTAGAGGACATTTAAGGGAAGCCTATGGCACAGCCAGATAAAACGGTATCTGGTGCTAGGATATACCTAATTGAGAATTTCATGAAGCACATTATTTGTAGGTGTAGACAATGCTTTCAAACTAGACACATTTAATTAGCACATAATATGAACTACATGAGTGGCAAGTTAAGCAGCACTGGCCCCTTTGCCAGGCATTTTGAAAGAATTACAGGATTTGGTCATGTGATATTAAATCTAATTGAAGTAGTGTTCTAGGAGGCCCATCATTATGATAAAAATGACTTGCTACTTCAAATAGGGACACTAGAGGAAGCTGTTTTTAGAGGACTCAGTTGTAGTAGGAAATCAGTTTGGTTTAAGACAATGCTTGAACCGAAGACACTGAATAAATAATGACTTCCATGCTTATTAACAACACTAGGATTAACTTTGTACCTTTAGTCAGGAAGGACTATTGGATATATTAATCACTATGGGATATTATGTCTTTAATGTTGAGTTGCAGGAATTCATAAAGAAACAAGCTCAACGTCGGGCGCAGTGGCTCACACTTGTAAAATCCCAGCACTTAGGTAGGCTGAGGAGTGTGGATCACCTGAGGTCAGGAGTTCAAGACAAGCCTGGTCAATATGGCGAAACCCCGTCTCTACTAAAAATACAAAATTAGCCAGGCATGGTGGCAGGTGCTTGTAATCCCAGCTACTCGGGAGGCTAAGGCAGGAGAATTGCTTGAACCTGTGAGGTGAAGGTTGCAGTGAGCCGAGATTGTGCCACTGCACTCCAGCCAGGTGACAAGAGTGAAACCCTGTCAAAAAAAAAAAAAAGAAAGAAAAAGAAAAAGAGAGAGAGAGAGAGAGAGAAAGAAAAGGAGAAAGAGAGAAAGAAAGAGAAAGAAAGAAAAAGAAAGAAAGAAAGAAAGAAAGAAAGAGAAAGAAAGAAAAAGAAAGAATTTGAAGAAGTAAAATTATGGGAAAAACGTGTTTAGTCTAAGTTATGGCAAGGTTTCACTGAACACTGTGACCTTCAGTGTTGCTCCCTGACAACCCTGGTAATATGGATGAAAAAGAAGTTTATCTCCCGTGTGTGGAATTCATAGAAAGTGGATGAATAAAGAACAATCCTTTGACATATGTAGGCCATGGGGTGTGGATGGGCTCTTTGACATAATGACCCCTGAAAATTAGTGTTTGTACCAACCTGGAATATACCTAAAATACAGTTCATAGAAACAAATTTTTTTCAGAAAATTTGATTTGAGAAGAAAAAATATGTATTCAATTAAATACTCCCATAGGCCCATGGAAAATGATGCAAATAATTGAGGTTGATGGAGGAAAAAGGTAATTGAGTTTGTGAATGAACATCAAGAGACTTGTAAAGGAAGATGTTAATGAGTAACATGCTTTGTGGAGGGAATTCCTACTCTCTGTTGGATGGTTCAAATCAAGGTCAGAGTATTAGTTGGCTTAAGTGAAACACTGCAGAAAATGGTGTAAGACAATAATGATAATACACCAGCAATATTTGGCACTAAGATGTTGACCAAGGCCAGAGCAGATTGGGAAGGAAAGGGTCTTTGATTCTTTCTGATTACTGAGATGCCCTGCCAGGATCCACAGAAGGAAGGAAGCCCATTTTGCTTATATAAACATACTAATGACAGCTCCTGACAAACAATTTGTTTTTTTGCTGGCAGGAGAGTGATTATCTATCACAGAAATGCTTTTAGCAGAATGTACTTGGTCGTTTAGAATTGCTTATGGTTAACAAAGTAGAAGGTTGTGGATTTATGGGGCTCCCTGGAAAATGTCACATATACCACATATGTAACTATCTGCATAAAAATTAAGATATTTGATAATTGAGACAGGTATCTCCATGTAAATAAATTGTCTGCATACCTCTCTAGAAGTCTCATCTATCTGCCTGGGCAAGGGAGTATCTAATGACAGAACCAAGGATCTAAAGAATCAGATTAAGAGATCTAAATAATTCTCTGATTTGCCTATGCCTAATGATTACCTGAGTTCGTGAAATTACTAGTAAAGCTTTATATTTTGTAAGATCTTAGATTCTGATAAGTCTAATGTCACAATCCAATCAGTTTTTCCTATCTCAAGGAATCATGTCCATATAATGGAATTAATCCTGAAACTCTGAAAAGTTTTAATATTCTGGGGTCAGGGTAGATGAGAAGGAGTCTCCATATGACTTATAAACATGTAAGGAGAAATAGTAAAATTGTTGTAAAATTAAAAGAAGAACAGAAATTCATAAAATAAGCTATAACAATCAGGTTAAACAACAAAAACAAAAAGCAAAGCGTCTATCAGTAACATGATTGAATAGAAGAGCCGAGAGAGAGTTGTCAGTGGTAAAGGAATAAATATTATCTCATTTGATAGAGTGATTGTATTAGTCCATTTTAACACTGCTGATAAAGACATACCCACGACTGGACAACTTACAAAAGAAAAAGGTTTATTGGACATACAGTTCCACATGGCTGGGGAGGACTCACAATCATGGCAAAAAGGAGCAAGACACATCTTATGTGGGTGGCAGCAGGCAAAAAAAGAGCTTGTGCAGAGAAAATCCTGTTTTTAACACCACTAGATCTTGTGAGACCCATTCACTATTATGAGAACAGCATGGGAAAGACCTGCCCCCATGATTCAGTCTTCTCCCATCAGGTCCCTCCCACTACATACAGAAATTATGGGAGCTAGAAGATGAGATTTGGATGGGGACACAGAGCCAAACCATGTCATTTCACTCCAGCCCCTCCCAAATCTCATATCTGCATGTTTCAAAACCAGTCATGCCTTCCCAACAGTCCCCCAAAATGTCAACTCTTTTTAGCATTAACTCAAAAGTCCACAGTCCAAAGTTTCATCTGAGACAAGGCAAGTCCCTTCCACCTATGACCCTGCAAAATCAAAATCAAGTTAGTTACTTCCTAGATACAATGGGGTTATAGGGGTACAGGGATTGGGTAAACGCAGCCATTGCAAATGGGAGAAATTGGCCAAAACAAAGAGGCTACAAGCCCCATGCAATTCTGAAATCCAGAAGGGCAGTCAAATCTAAAGCTCCTTTGACTCCATGTCTCACATCTAGGTCACGCTGAGGCAAGAGGTGGATACCCATGGTCTTGGGCAGTTCCACCCCTCTGGCTCTGCAGGGTACAGTCTCCCTCCTGGCTGCCTTCATGGGCTGGTGTTAAGTGTCTGCAGCTTTTCCACGCACACAGTGCAAGCTGTCAGTGGATCTACACTTCTGGGGTCTGGAAGACGGTGGCCCTCTTCTCACAGCTCCACTAGGTGGTGCCCCAGTAGGGATTCTGTGTGGGGGCTCCCTCCCCACATTTTCCTTCTGCACTGCCCTAGCAGAGGTTCTCCATGAGGACCCCACCTATGTGGCAAACTCCTGCCTCGGCATTCAGGCGTTTCCATACATCTTCTGAAATCTAGGCAGAGGTTCCCAAACCTCAATTCTTGACTTCTGTGCACTTGTAGGCTCAACACCACATGGGAGATGCCAAAGCTTGGGGCTTGCACCCTCTGAAGCCATAGCCTGAGCTCTATGTTGTCCCCTTTCAGCCATAGCTAGAGTTGCTGTGATGCAGGGGATGAAGTCCCTAGGCTGCACACAGCAAAGGAACCCTGGGCCCAGCCCACAAAACCACTTCTTCCTCCTAGGTCTCTGTGCCTGTGATGGGAGAGGCTGAGGTAAAGACCTTTGACATGTCCTGGAGACATTTTCCCCATTATCTTATGCAAATGTCCATAGCTGGCTTGGATTTCTCCTCAGAAAATGGGATTTTCTTTTCTATTGCATTGTCAGGCTGCAAATTTTCCAAATTTTTATGCTCTGCTTCCCTTATAAAACTGAACGCCCTCAACAGCACCGAATTCACATTTTAAGTGCTTTCCTGCTTAGAAATTTCTTCTGCCAGATACCCTAAATCATCTCTCTCAAGTTCAAAGTTCTACAAATCTATAGGGCCAGGCAAAATGCCACCAGTGTCTTTGCTAAAATGTAGCAAGATTCACCTTTACTCCGGTTCCCAACAAGTTCCTTATCACCAGCTGAGACCACTTCAGCCTGGATTTCATTGTCCATATCACTGTCAGCATTTTGTTCAAAGCCATTCAGCAAGTCTCTAGGAAGTTCCAAACTTGGCCACATTTTCCTGTCTTCTTCTGAGTCCTCCAAACTGTTCCAACCTCTGCTTGTTACACAGTTCCAATGTCGTTTCCATATTTTTGGATATGTTTCCACCAGCACCCCACTCTACTGGTAACAATTTACTGTATTAGTTCATTTTCATGCTGCTGATAAAAACATACCTGCAACTGGGCAATTTACGAAAGAAAGTGGTTTGTTGGACTTACAGTTCCACATGGCTGGAGAGGCATCATAATCGTGGTGGAAGGCAAGGAGTAAGCTACATCTTACATGGATGGCAGCAGGCAAAAAAGAGATTGTGTGGAGAAACTCCCATTTTTAACACCATCAGATCTCGTGAGATCCATTCACTATCATGGGAACAGCATGGGACATACGTGCCCTCATGATTCAGACATCTCCCACTGGATCCTTCCCATAACACGTGGAAATTATGGGAGCTACAAGATGAGATTTGGGTGAAGACACAGAACCAACCCATATCAGTGATTATTTAAGATTTTTTGCAGAAGCCTAACTGTTCAAGGAAGGTGTGTGATGGCAAAGAATAAAAGCTACAGATAATGACATGGCATCAGCTTGATTGGATCCATATTTTGTGGGATCTACAGCACATTCAATTTGGCGGTCAGGGTTTGGGGCTCTTTAAGCAAGAATGCAAAACTACAAACTCAAAACTGGAAACTCAAATGCAAATGAGGTGGCCGGAAATGTAAGCCTCATAACTTAGGATAAGAGAACAAAAGCTGATAAACATTTTCTATAAAGGGCACGATAGTAGATACTTTAGGCTTGCAGGCCATATTATTTGTGTTGTAAATATGCAACTTTGCCTTTGTAGTGCTTAAGCAGCTGTAGGCAATATGTAAAGGAATGTCTGTGGCTGAGTTCCTATAAAATTTTATTTATAAAAACCCGTGGCAGCCTGGCTTTGGCTCATTGGCTATAGTTTGCCTACCCCTGGCTTAATAAATCTGCCTCTATTCATAAGTAAGATTCTGCTTGTGTTTTGACTTTGCCATGTGCTCAGGGAAGGTAAGTAAAATTAAAATGTCTAGGAGAAGAAAGTGTAAATAACAACAAATTCCTGTTGGCAACGTATTTATGAATATGGAAGAAGAGATGCCCTCTTATCCTGTGAGATGGAAAGAAAAAAAGCCAAGAATAAATACAAATTAAAGCAAGCAAGTCTAAAATAAGATAATTAACATTATTCTGGGAAGTAGAAGACAAAGTACTTCTGCTAGGAATGGGAAGACCAAATATGGACTGGAGTATTTGAAAACTCGGTGGATATTTGGAATATCTGTTGTGGACAAAAAAGAGACAGAAAAAAGGAAGAGATCAAAAAGTCAAGTAATTTGAAGTGATTATAGGGAAAAGTGATCTGGACACACAGTTTGTGTCATTCACAAAAGCATCTGACCAAGAGAGTAAACTCTGCCCTGTGGTCAACAGTTACTATTAAAATTTCATCATTCAGATTCAGGGCTTATTTCTAGTTGATACAAAAGTGGAACATTGCCCTACATAATGTTATACTTTTTGTTATTCAGAAATGTTGAAGTTTCTATGCATGAGGTTTTTGTTATTTGACATAATTATTTATTTCACTCATTGTGTTTATCTTATCCAGATTAGATAGAAATTAACCAATTTTAACTTTCTGTCTGTTCTGTATGTTTTAGTAACAAGTAATTCAGGAGTGCATGCAAATGCAACATGAAATGAACAGACGATAAAATAGAGTATATCTGCATAAAGACTTTTCATATGTTATAATAAACAGTATCAAAAACATTATTTGTCTTAAACTGTTTAAAAAATGCCAGTATAAGTCATTTTTAACCTAGTATCAAAATCGTAATCATGTGAAAAGTAAATATTTCTTTAAGTTTTGTAAAATATTTGATGTAGAATATTTAGCTCCAAATTAATTAGGAGAATTTCATAGTGTCTTATAATTAAGCTGCCCTTAAATACACCTGAACCTTCATGCAAACGTCTGTGGTTATTTGTCTCCACATGTTTCAGCAGATGAGGTGATTTGAATGCAGCAAAAAATTTAATAGCTTAAGTTGAAACAGGAATTATCCTAAGGGAATCTGTAGAAATGCATTCAAGAGCAGATGAGCTATATCTATTTCTTTCATGCTTTGGTGTAGTAAGTAATTGTTCATAGCCAAACGCTTTACGAAGATAAATGATTGATATAATGAATGACCCGAAGATGCCCAAGAGCACATGAAAACAGAAATGCCTTTGTTCTGAAGGAGAATGTCTTAGTATAGTTATAAATTGAATGTAAAAATTGTGGCTGAAATTATTCTAAAAATCACAAGAAGCTGCATTTAAACTGTGCTATGGCATCTATTCAAAAGATTTGAAACCATTTGTTTTCTGAATTGCACCCAACATAAAGCTTTCTCACACAGAACAAAACAGAAGTGAGCATCAGTCACACTTCCAACATGCATACATTTTGCTCTAAAGGAACAGCTGTTACTTGATGAAAAGTCGATGAAAGATGCCCAACATTTGTTTTTAAAAAGTTATCACCCAAACAAGAATTGTTTGGAACCAGATGCTAAAATCGAGAGTGGTCTGTTTATTTCAGTTCAGAGTGTTATAAAAATGTTAATAAGGTATTTTTATGTCTATTACCCAGCTATATTTGACTTTCTAATGTGCTTTTTGTTATAATTGGCTGTTGTTTCTATAGGCTGGCATTATTGGCATTAGATCACTGAAGAGTAAATAAAGTGAGCAAGAATACTCTCTTGTCACCAGATTACTGAGGTGTACTGGAGGTAGGTTGAATGGTTTTACAGATGAATTACAGTGAAAACTTTGAAACACTAATAATCTCTTCGGTGTTGAGAAATAACCTACTAATCATTAACTTAATAATTATCAGCTCAACCAGGAAACTACACCACCTAAAAGGTAGTTAATTTTATCACTCCTAGACATCTACAGGAGACCATGATTCTCCATTATGTGAATGCCTTGCTGCCCATGTGATGCCTGCACCCATCAATTCTAAGAAGCTTCAGTCATTTAGTACTTAATATGTAATTTTTAAAAATTACATAAGTAATACCTTCTCCTTATAGAGAACTGAAACTTTCAGAAACAGTTAAAGCCTAATTTGAATATTGCCAAAGCCCTGTCTCTTCTTCAGAGACAACCAGTGTTTCCAGTTTGGTGTGTATTTTCCCCAAATACAGTGAATGTGTGTATAAACACGTGTAGATTTACCTGTCCTAGATATGAGCATTTGCTTTGTGAGTCTGCTTTAAGTCAAGTTCTAAACTATGGCTCAGTTTAAAACTTATCTTTTTCTATTTAATAATATACCTTAGAAGTCATGCCATGATATTAAGATGAATAATAATGAAATTATTAATATTAGTCAAATTTAATTAGTTGCTTATTACGTAGTGGGTACTTGGTGTGATATATGGATTATCTCATTTAATCATCATGACAAGCTAATAAATTGGCAATGCTGTTATCTCCATTTTATGGAAGAGAGAAAAAGATTGTAAGTACTTTGCTCAAGGTCATTTAGAGGGAGAGCAAATTATTCAAATCCAGATATTCTGCTCTCAGAGATTGTATTATTAACTATTATGCCACAATAGAGGCATTGTAGTCTGCATGATAGTCCAACTATTTTTATTTGTAGTTATATATTGATGAATATCTAGAGTATTTTTAAAAATTACAACACAATACTGCAATTGACATTCTTGCATGATTATCTACCATGTATTTCCAAAAGTGGAAAGGCAAACATATGTGTTTAGTTTTTACAGAATGTAGACTATATAACAATTGTACTCCAAAGGAGATCTTGGTTATACATTGATACCAGCATAGTTTGAGCCTACCCTCTTCCCTGTACCCTCAAAACCCTTGTTAACATCTTATGTTTTGCCAGTCTGCTGAAGAAAAAATGGTATCCAATTGTTTAATTCAATTACTTGATTACTAGTGAAGTAAGAATTTTTTTATATTTATCATAATTTGTATTGCCTGTAATCTGAAAGGGTTATTCATATTTTTTTGCCTACTTTTCTATTAAGTCATGTCTCTCTAAGATCTAGCTTAAACGTTACTTTTTCCAAAAAACCTTCCCTGATCTCCCACAACTCAAAACATTATCTTCCTACTTTAGTTTCTTACAATATTTTATCTACATTTCTCTTATAACACCACTTTCTACTTTGTATGATTGTTATTTTAGTACTATCTAATCAGTCCTTTAATTTCCTTTGGGGACTATTTTATGGTGATTAATCCTTATGACACATATTGTCCACATTTTTTGGACAAAATTCTTCAATGAAGATTGATAATTAAAATTAATAAAAATTAAATTAATTAAAAATTTAATTAACTTAGCTTTTAATTTTTTAATTATCATATAGGCCACCTACTGAGATATACAATTTTTGGTCTAAAGTATTACTTTGAAACAATTATAAGAAAACAATTATAAGAAAAAAAATTTTTATTATTCTAAGATCCTTCGGATTGGAAAGTTGCTTGTTCTATATAACAAGATTTACTCTTTCCATATATTCTAGGATAAATTCATCATCTCTCTAAAAATTTCCTAATTTTTGTCATTCAGAAAAATAGCCAATTCCTGTCCTTCATTAAATTTTAATGAATAATCAGTCAATTATAAAACTCTTGAAAAATTCATATTAAAAAGGAAACATTTATATTATTAAAAAATAATAATTACAAAATGCCCATATAAATATTATTTAGGGCCAGGCACACTGGCTCACACCTGTAATCCCAGAACTTTGGGAGGCTGAGGTGGGCAAATCACTTGAGCCCAGGGTTTGAGACCGGCCTGGGCAACATGACAAAACCCTGTCTCTACAAAAAATTTAAATATTAATCAGATGCGGTGGTGTGCGCCTATAATCCCAGCTACTCAGGATGTTGAGGTGGGAGTGATGGGGTGGGAGTGAAAGGGAAGGGAGGCAGGGAAATTCTGGGCAAAAGAGGGCAGGTCCCTGGCAACGGCTCCACCCTCAAGCCTGGAACCAAAGCCCAAAGTGAGAACATACATTCCTGTTTTCCCACTCAAATGTTGCCTTTTACAAAATTACCCATGACCTCCCCTGTCCCCCATCCTGTGCCCATAAAAACCCCAGACTCAGCTAGCAAAAAAGAGAAGCAGCTGAACATCAAAAGAGAAGCAGCAGCTGGGCATCAGAGACTACGGTTGGACGTTGGAGAGAAGCAGCTTGATTTCAGAGAGACAGCTTGACAGTGCAACTTTGGAGAAGAGTCCAGCCAGAAACCTTCCTGCTACATCTCCTTCCCAGCTGCCCTTCCTGCTGAGAGCCACTTTCCTTGGCAATAAAATCCTCTGCATTTACCATCCTTCAATTCGTTTCTGTGAGCTGATTTTTTCCTGGATGCCAAACAAGAGCTCAGGAGTGAGTGTGGATACAAAAAGGCATGCTGAGCTGCTAACACTTCAGCTGTCTGAAGACGGCAGAGCTAAAGGAGCACTGTAATATGCCCACTGGGGCTTCAGGAATCACAGGCACCCCCCTAACCCCAGGGGCTGCTATGGGGCCCACATGGAGTTTGCTCCTGCCAACACCCCAAAGCTCTCTTCCTGGCTCCTGTACCTGCTCACCTGCATGCTCTCTCCTGCAAGAGGTGGAACACAGCAGGTCAGAGTGGGTGAGTTCACTCCTTCTGGCACCAAAGAGGCCACTGGTTCCAGCACTCGTGTACTCCAGTTCCTGCCTTGTTCAATTGCGCACTCCCTCCCTTGAGGAGTTGAGAGCAGTGGGCTGAGTAAATGGGGCACCCCTGTCACGAGTCCCATGAAGGGGTCAGGGAAATGCCCTGCTTCAGGAGGATCTCTTGAGCCCAGGAGGTGAAGGATGCACTGAGCCAAGATCGTGCAACTGAACTCTGGCCTGGGTGACAGAGTGAGACTCTGTCTCAAAATAAATAAATAAATAATTTAATTAATTAAATTTAGCTTATTCTTTTGAACTTCATTCTTCATAGTGTTATAAAATACATGATTTAAGACAGTGAGAAAGAGAGAGAAGCCAATGATGGACTTCTAATAGAATTCAGAGTGGGACTTGTTTGAACATTTCAACCAAATAAAAGATTCCTGCAATTAGTTGACTCTTCAGTCCACCTCAGTTTTAAACATGTCTCAGGTTGCCCTTAACCAACGAGTATAGTTTACTTTGGGCTGATAAATTCTGTGGATGGCAAGAGGTTGTGAATATCCCTTTATAAACCCAGAACTAATGCTACATATCCCTGGCATTAGTGCCTTATTTATCTAAACTTACAAATATATTGGGCAAAATTCCGGGATATGGGCACAGAATTAATAATTGAATACCTTATTTTGTATGGTCATTTGCTCACTGACAAAGATAGAGAAGCAGCTGAAATTCATGATTATGATCCCTAGTTACATCTCTCTTTAAGTCCTTATGTTTGGTTCCCTGGGAGTTTCAGCGCATTTATATAGCAGCACCCAAGTTTTTATAATCTGTTAAGTATTACTATCTAGGATTAGCTACTGAAGAATCAAGAACTGGTAGTTGATGAACTTGAAAGACAATTATCCTATATAGTGTTTCTTGAGGACACTAATTTCTTAAGATAGAATGAGAGGAAAACATAATATCCACAAACAGAAATAAATTTTGGAATATTATATGCTTTAGCTTCCTCTTGGATATTTACAAAAATATTAGCATATTAACGATTACAGAATGAAGAAACCTTTTTAGCTACATTTAAACTAGTCCTAGAGTTTGGATATATTTCCTCCAAATTCATGTTTAAGTTTAATCCTCAAAGTGATGAGGAAGTGGGGCCTTTGGAGGCAATTAAGTCATGATGGCTATGCACTCATGAATGAGATTAATATCCTAATTAAGGAAGCTTCTGAGAGCTTCCTGGCTCTTCCATTTCTTCTGCCATGTGACAACATGGCATTTGTCCATTTTGTCCCTTTGCTTTTCCTACCATGTGATTAAGTCATGCAAAATGACATCTGTGAAACAGGCCCTCATCAGACAATGAATATGTTGGTGCCATAATCTTGAACTTCCCAACTCCTGAACTTTCAGAAATACATTTCTGTAATCATAAATTACCCAGTTTGTGGTATTTGTTATAAGACCAGGAACAGACTAAAACAGCAAATGCTTTCCCCCATCCCTGACTACTTTCAGAATGTTTAAGAGTTGTCCATACCGTTTCTTATGGCAATTATGAGGCAGATATTTTTCAGGAAAGTGGCATGCATATATGTGAATTTTTTTAGAGGAGTTGAAAAACAAAACAAAACACTTGTTTGGCAATGTTCATTCCTCACAGAATCAGTGCTATTCATTTTGGAAAATATCTTAGTATCCTGCTTGTTGCCTTATTAGTTGTTTTTCTCTCATTGCAATCAGCTGTTGCCATGTACCTTTTGCATTTGGTGGTCAGGGTCTTCGGAATCGTATGAATCTGATATCAAATCCCAGTTGTATTGCTGACTAGCTGTGAAAAAAGATTTTAAACTTATTATTTTCAGTTTACTCGTTTATTAAGTACCAATATTAATATTGAAACTAGAGAAATAGATTAAATGGCATACTTGTATAGTAATTGTTACATAGGAAAACTCTCAATAAATCAATGCTGTTATTATTACCATTAATATTCCCTAGATGTGAAGATTGTCTTCAGAGGAAACATACTGGAAAAAAAAAAATGAGTTTTACAGAAGTTTTTCAGCAGAAGTTGATTGGTTTTACATACACACACACACACACATGCACATATATTTACACACATATAAATATGTATATTTTATATATATATATGCACACACATTTGTTTCTATTTAAAATGAAAAAAGTACGTTAGTCATGTGTGCCCAATTTTCTGATACACTAAAAAATGGAAATATCTTGGCAGACACTATTGATAGGCTATGCAAATGTAAACTTCTCTTGCCTAGTTTTTTATTTGGAAAGTAAAATATCCATGTTTCTTGGTGTGGCCATGTGAATTTTGTGACATTGAAATGGATATCATAAGATAGGTTCCTAAGAAAGCCTTTAAAAAAGCACAAACTTGGCCTGCATGGCTTTGGCCTTTTGCCCCTTTGCCCTTTGCTGCTTCAGCCTTTCCTATTTTTCTTGGCTGCAATATGAGCAATCATGTCTCAGGGTGCTACAGGCATCAAGCTATCTTATATCATACCTCTTTCTAAGGAAATGCTATTAATGTCCCTGCATGTGTATAACAAATCTTCAGCGTCCCTGTGAGGCTGCTCTTCTTATCCTGTCCTGGCTTGTACTTTCTTTTGTAGAAGTAAGTAAACATCTTGCCTGTGAAAACTGCTTTTAGTTGCACCCTGTATTCCTTATAGCTAAACCCTATCTACCTGAAACCTATATTGATACTTAAGCCATATATTTAGTTTGGAGACCAGATTAAATTTAGAGTTCCATTAATTCCATAATAAATATTTTTGAGTGGCTAGTATGGGTAATGTGATATTTAAGCTACTGGTATAGTGTGGTAAACTGAAGATATGACCTGAAATGTTTGTAACTTATATGATAATAAGTGGAGAGAGCTGAAAATTAGGTAAATAAATAGATAACCACAGATTTTGATCTGTTATACAAATACGATAAATATGGCAGAAAGGACTGTAAGCTAAGGAGTAGAGTAAGAGAAAGCAATTATAAAGATTGGCAACTAAATGTTATCTAACAAGTGATACTTAAAGGCTGAGATACTTTAAACTATAAGACACAGTTTTGTAAAAATCTTGGAAATTGTGTTTTTTAAGTTAATGGTGCAATTTATCTAATGTGTAAATACAAGTGCTGGTTTGTTGAAGGAGCAGAAAAAAAAAGATTAGTTTGAGTATGGGGAAAGAGAAGGAGATTGGAGAGAGGTTTAAGAACTAAGCATATGCCAGTTTATATAGAGTTTATGTAACAAAGAAGAGATTTTTTGTGCATCAGGTTGTATTGTTGCATAATACTATACCCCAAACTTACTGGTATAAAATAGTAAACTTGTATTATGCTCACAGGTTCTGTGGGTCAGGAATTTAGAAACAGGCACAGTGGGCATGCCCCTTTTCTGCACCTCAATGATGAGGCCTCAGCTGGGAAGATTTACATGTCTGGATGCAACTCAAATAGCTGAGGGCTAGGACAGCTTGGACTGGAGTGTCCACTTCCAAAATTGCTTTTTATGCCCATATCTGGCACTTGGCCTTGTGTATTTGAAGCTAGGAATGAACTGGGATTGTCAACCAGAACTCCTATTCGTGGTCTATCCTCATGGTTTGGGTTTCTCCCAGCCTGGCAATACTGGGGCCCTCCTGAGATGGAGGAGTCTGAAAAAAAGTGAGCAGAAGTCAGATTGTCGATTTAGGCCAGGTCTCAAAAGTTACACAGCATTGATTTTTTTTGTATTCTCTTAGTCAAAGAAGTTAAAAGTCCTCCCAGATTCAAGGTCAGAGACCCCAGTCCCCACATCTCAATGAAATGACAGTTGAAGAACTCTGAGGAGATATTTTATAACCATTACATTATATCAAATGAAAAAAGGTGATTTTTTAATGTCATTTAATTTGTCCCACAATATTGACTTTTTACTCTTCTCCATGTCCTGATACTCATAATATTCCTCATTTTTCTCCATTAAACTCCATCTTTCAGGGACACTTCTAATACATTATTTTATACTAAATTGTAAACTAGAATTAATTTTTGAAGTATTGCCACTTGCAGGGGGATGTATATTTAATTTACGGAATTATAAATCTAGACAATAATGTACATTGTTAGGATTTTCTATCAGAATTATTTTAATTAATAAATGTTACCTTTAAATTTTTTTAAATCATCCTTTTTTAAGCATTTATTCAGTCGGGACTTTCAGTTCATGTACTTTCCTCTAAATTAAAATCAGATATCATTTGTAGAATTTTATGCAATGACTAAGATGGTTTTTTGGGAGATGATATTTATTACCAAATTTTCTGAAAATATGTAGTATTTGCATTATGTCATGATTTCTTATATTACAATAGTTTTTTTAAAAAAATTTCAATAACATTAAAATTATTTCTAAATACATCTTAATTTAAAGTAGTTAATTTTAAAATATTTAGTCATTTACTTATAGAATTTAATTTAAATTACCGAGGTGTGTGCATGAGATCAAATAATTATTCCACATTTGCAGTATTTCACAGTGTTTTGTTCTATTTATAATTCGTGTTCCTTCTATGTGTGGAAAAAAAAATAAGGCTTGTCATGTTCATAACAAAATGTTAAAACCTTTAAGAAAGAATGGAAACTACAACAGAATATTTCTAATTTCAGTTGTACTCCATGTCTGCCATTATACAGATTGTTTAGAGAATCTCCCAAATTACATTCCATATAAAAAGAAATTGAGTGTCAGTGTATCAAACAGAACCATTTTAAACAGTCATGCGAGATGGACAGAGGAGGTATAATAATATGGGCCCTGAAGTGTTACAGTATGATAGAGTCATAGTTTTATGATAGTTTTTTTTCACTTTAATTTCCAGGAACAATCATGAAGTTTAAGAAGAAAGAATACTGTCAGAAAAGAGGCAATTTTTTTTATATTTAAAAAGTTCCCTTTTTCCAGTCTATTCATTTTTATGCATCAACTCTCATTTTATCTTGACAATTTCATAATAACTATATTTACCTTTATTTTTTATCCATATGCATTTCATTTAAAAGTGAAAACTTTCACTCAAAATGTAAAAAGAACTTATAGAATTTGCCTCCAAAGAGCTCTACTAGTCTGTCTTTCCTATTTCATCCAATGTTACGACTACAATTCCCATCTATCAAACACAGCAGTCAATTGGTAAGTCATTTATGTCTCTTTTTATACTATTTTTCATGAAGTTTCTTTATTTTCCAGTTCTATTGTATGTCACCTCAAATATCCATACAACACATTATTTTAATCTCCTTCCCTCTAAGCATTCCTGTTCCACTTAATCTAACACAATGTTCTCAAAGATATGACAAAGTGCAACTCTGTTAAAAAAGCTTCAAAGACTTTCCACTGAACTGAACAGAATTAGAATAGATGATTATTTCAGTCATGTGTTGGTATATAACAAAATACCCCAATCACCTATTCTTCCTCCTCTTAAAGTCAATGTATTATTAAAACGTCCAACTTCCTTTTATGAAATATTTCACACATACCCAAAACTGAAAAATAATTGATACAGCAACATAACCAGAAACAAGATTATAAGAAATTCTACAAGGGATAACTACAGGCTAAAATTGTTTAGCATCCCCTTGTATATTTCTCTATTTTTAAGTACAGGTCTGTGTATAGAATATTTTATACCGCATACAGTAGTGTTTGTATCTTCAAATTTAAATAAGATGTTATTGTTTTCTCTGTATTATTTCAACACATGCTTTATAATCTCACTATGATATTTTTGAGAACCATTCCAGCTGATACTTGGGTATCTGTTTTTGTTTAATTTCTATATGGGATTTCATTATATATATAATATAAAGCTATCAATTTTCATATCAGGAAATATTGGCATTTTTATATTTACCATTGTAAATGTTAAAAACAAAGCTACAATAAATACTTATTGTTTTGTTGTTTATATATATTAGAATTTTCATAGGATACACATAGAGCAGGGAAATTTTACAACTTTGGGCACTTTCATCCTTACATTGTCAAGTAGCTTTCCAAAGTCGTTGTATGAATTTATCTTCCCACTATATAATTGTTAGAGTTCCTGTTTTCTAATAGCCTCATCAAAGAGGAGAATTTCTCAAGTATTAAGCAGTAAAGTAAAAAAAAAGTCATCGTTCTACAAATTCAATTTTACTAAATAAAATATATTTTATATTTTCTTTAAAAGTGATACAAGATGTCTTTCACATTTGAAGTTAATGTGATGATAGAATACAATTTACAATTTTTCTATATGTTAATCAAATGTATCACTGCTATTTTATGAATAGTTATTCATTTTTCTGGGTGATACGACAATTCATATGTAAAATATCGAAAGTCTACCATGAATTTTTGAATTTCCTGCTATAGTCCAGTGAACAAATTGTTCATCTCTGAGTCAATGCCGCACTATCATAATGACTATAATTCATAATCAATTCTTATTGAATATCTGCTCAGTGCCAGTATATGAGTTTGCTGGATCTGTTATGACAAATTACCACAAACCTAAATGTTTAAAGCAAAAGAAATATATTCTCTTACAGTTCTGTAGGGCAGAAATCTGAAATAAAGGTATAGATAGGCCCACTTTCCTTCTCAAGTGTTTATGGGTGGATCCTACTTTACCTCTTTCAGCTGCTGGTGGCTCAAGGCATTCTTTGGTTTGTAGCTGCATAACTCCAATCTCTGCTTCCATCCTCAAGTAGCCTTCTTCTATTTCCTGTATCTTCTCCTCTTCTGTCTTTCATAAGAACACTTATTGGATTTAGGGTGCACTAGGATCATCCAGTATGACGTCATCTCAAGATCCTTATTAATATATACAAAAAAATTAGGTCACATCTACAGTTTCTGTGGGCTAGCATATGGAAAGATATGTGCATATTTATCATATTTTGGGAGGCACCATTGAATCTACTAGAGACAAACATCTACATTTAGGATATTAAAGAAAAAAATCCTTGCCTTTGTAAAGATTACAGTGAGATGTAGGATGACACAAAAGAAATAAAATATAGACAGGTGTTGAAAAGTTATATATTTTGTGAAGAAAATAAAGTAAGGCAGGATACACAGTAATAGTGGCAGATTACAATTTTAATTAATGTATTCAGTAAGTAACATTGTAAAAATAGCATTGAAATAAACACATCAAAAGGCTGAGGGAAGAAAAAGAATATAGTTTTTCTCTACATCCCAAATTACTTCTGATTGAATGTTTTTACTGGGATCTGTTTCTGGGAGAGACTAAGAGAGTGACTAACTTTGGATAGATTCTGAATGTAGAGCAAGCAGAAAGACTCGCTGAAAGGTGGGATGTGCAATTCTTGACAAAGAAAATAAGTAGGATTGACTCTAAGATTTTTGCTTTGAGACAAATGGTCGTAGGTGAGAATGTGCATTTCAAAGTTGAGATGTTTATTAGCTTCTCAAAAGAAGACAGCATAAGAAGTTGGATGTAAGAGCCTGGCATTTAGAAGAGAAGTAAGAGGTAGAGGTACAAATTTGCAAGTTCTTAGCATAAACAATATTGTAAACCATGGCTCTGTGAGAACTCATCAAGGGAGTGGGGGTGGACACAGAAGTGTTCCAAAGACTAAGAAATAGCATACAAAGACATAAGAAGAAAGCCAAGAGGACGTGTTCTGGAAGCCAAAGAAAAAAAGCTGGGTTTTTTTGTTTGTTTGTTTATGTGTTTTTGTTTGTTTGTTTTTTAATTAAAGAAAAAGAGACTACTGATAGATCAATAAAATGAGAATAAAAAATTAACCTTTAAATTTTGGAACATGAAAATAATTAGTGATTTGAAAGGAACATTTAATTGAAATGGTCAATACTTTTCTAGTATTTTAATTGTAACTCATGCCTCACTTTGTTACCCAGGTTGGACTGGACTCCTGGCCTCACATTTTCAAATAATTAATGCTTATTTAGATTTACCCTTACATTTAACAGGTTTACAGTTGCCACTTGCTTCTCACACTTGTCTTTTTTAGTGTTTTCTTTTTTCTTTCTTTGTTACTTTAAAAAGGGTTGTTCAATGAATCCATGAGTGCGCTTTCTTAAAATTTTGTAGACCCAAAAAGTCTCAGCACTGTGTATAGTATTCTATCTTGCACTGTATATTTTGCATTTGGAACTTGGTATGCCATTGCATTATTGTATTAGTTTTTCAGTGAACTAGCTTCTTTTTAAAATATTCACCAAATCAGTGTTCTTTCTAGTTTGGATTTATTTTTATCAATTCTGTTCAGAACTTGTCCAATTCCTGAATGTGAAAATTTTTTTTCTTTAATGACTTATAGAAAATTTCCAGTTATTACCTCTAGATATTGCCTCAATACCATCTTAAATGCACCCAAAGTATCTAATATAATAATAATTTTTGTCCATCTTGCTCTATATTGATAACTTTATTTCTCTGTGATATATATTTATTATATTAATTTTAATCATCCATATCTCATAGGTTTTTAAATTCAATTACTATATTTTTATTTTTGGATATCCTTTGCCAAATCTGCTCTTCATTTCTTTTTAAATGTCTTTAGTGTTTATGTATGTTCATTACATATTATTAATTTTATAATTTTTTTCAAATTATTCATCTATTTTTACACATACTTTTAATTCTGCTGTTTTACATCTGCTGACTCTTATTGCTGGTTTTTTGTTTTTTTTTTTTGAGACAGAGTCTCACTTTGTTGCCCAAGCTGGGTTGCAATGGTGCAATATCAGCTTGCTGCAACTTCCGCCTCCCAGGTTCAAGCAATTCTCCTATTTCAGCCTCCCAAATATCTGGGATTATAGGCGCCTGCCACCATGCCTGGCTAATTTTTTGTATTTTTAGTAGAGACGGGGTTTTGCCATGTTGGCCTGGCTGGTCCTGAACTCCTGACCTCAGGTGATCCACCCGCCTCAGCCTCTGAAATTGTTGGGATTACGGGCGTGAGCCACCGCGCCTGGCATGTATATCATTTTTCATTGTGTATTTTGTAATTTTTGTTTGTGAATTTATTTTTAATATAGTTTTCAATTTAACTTGTTAGTTTCTGTAGTGGCAAATCCTTGTGTTTGCAATATTGGATTATTTCTCCATAAGAGTTTCACATTTCTTCTGCTAGGAAATCCATGGGGAATATTGGAATTGGGCTAGTTTTTATTTTATTTCTAATGTTTAAAGTTTCTGAAAAATATTGGCGTCAAAAAATTCTACTTCAATCCTGAGTAAAGAATAAAGTGCTAGTGACAAATTCCCAGTTGTGTTTTCCTTTCTTAATATTTGAGAGCCACAGCAAATGTTGCATACCCTTTGATGTTAAGCAGAAACTTTTGTCTAGACATTGACTTCAGGCTTTAAAATATGTAGTATCTCCCCCAGATTAAAGGTAACTAGTCCCTGATTTCTATTAAAATATAATTTTTAGAAGCTTAAAATCATAGCTTTCAGACAAATATAAAATGAATAGGTTTTAAAGATATTAACTTGAATTAATAAATAACAAATAGATGTTTTAAATGACACAAAGGGAATCTGAGAAACTGGGACATTTAGAAGCAATTTAGCAAAATAACATTAAGATTGTTTGGTTAAATAAATAAATATAGATTGATATATAACAGTGTCATAAATCTGTGAGGTTATCTGTTCTACTAAGGAGATATATTTGTATCTTTACAGGAAAAAAAAATTCATGGTGCAAAATCCCTTTACTAAATCTGGTACCTTTAATTATTATTGTATAGCACTTAAGTATAGGAACTTGAATATAGCCAATATATTCCTAAAGATCTAAATTACTCTCCAAATAAAATGCTTTTTGTACATAATTTTTTCTATTCCCATTAATTATCTTTCACAGTTTTATTTTGTTTTGATTTTTTCATTTGTTCCTTCCCCCTCCCCTTGGCATTCAGTTAATTCTTCTATTTTATTTCCCAAACAGGCACATTATCATTAAATGTAATGGTTGGCTGAATCATAACCACATTTAAATATTGCTCTGTTTTGCCATTTGTTTTTCTTCCTTCTTTCTTTCCTTTCTTCGTTCTTGCTTTTCTTGGCAAGCTTATGAAGTTTTATTTGTGTAATTGCTACACAAAGAAACTTCATTGTGTTTGTATTTGCCCTTCAATTGGATCATAAATGCCTTGGTGGCAATGAATGTACATAGCTATTTCTGCATCCTAAGTAGCATATATGTAGGTTTTGAATACAGGATTGATAAATGTTTGTCTTGTGAAATTAAAATAATTACTGATGTCTACATATTGTTTCCAGCTTGCTTCTCTGTTGTTTCCTCTTTAGATATGCTAGATAACCACTTCAATATGATTCTTCTTATGTAAAACCTCATATATTCTCAAAAGTATTATGTATGCATTCAACTAACTGTACATCTACAGTACAGTAAAAAATGAGATTGTAGTAAGTGAAAATGCATTTATAAGTATAGGCAAATTTTTAGGCAAGACACCTCATAAAGATCACTTTAGAAATTAGATCAAGTAAAAATAAGTCACAAAAAGAAACGTGAATTAGTCATCTTAAACATTGTTTTAGGCAGTAAAACAACATTGAAAAAAGAGGATCTTGTAAAGCCTGATACTTGATTCCTATAGGATAACTGAATCAAATCAGGTGTTTTAGAGGTAATGGTCACCTGATTGTTTTCTCTTGAGTTTTTTCATATAATAGGTGCAGTGGTTCTTGCAATGAGGATTTTTTTTATGGAAATGTGAAATAAAGTACAGAAATTCCTAATGAAAACCTGTCTTTTAAGTGGATCTCTAAATTCTAAGAAAGTGCTTATATTATCTTAGTTATTTAGCTATTAGCCTGTCAATCATTAGGAAAGTAAGAGCAATTTACAAAGCATCTACCACTGTGCTAGTACTTGCTCACATGTTCTCATCCACCTAAGGGAATATTCAAAGCATCTTAATAGTTGCTACTAATTCATATAATTTAATTAATAGAATAGCAAATACATTCTCATCTTATTTCACATTTTTAACATACACAAGATATAGCTATTTTATAGTGATTAGGTTTAGTAAAAATAACACTGATAAAACTCAACTGTTAGCATGTACAGTTTTAGGCTACGTATTTTTCAAAACAACAAAATATAATTTTTTTAGACTCAACTTGAAATTTTGTAAAAAATAAAGTTTCAGAAATAGTAAACTATCACAGAACAAGAAGCATAATAGAAAGTAGAAATTGTTTTACTATAAAAAATACTATAAATAAAAGGGCTAAATGTTTCTTAATATTCGTATACTGATACCAAATATTAGATGCCTTGAGTCACTAAATTAAATTGTCCCTAAATATTACATTTATTATTTAAAATGTTAATGTTGCTTACAAACCTCAACAGATATTTTTGCCAACTTATAGATGGGAGAATTTAAAAAGATGTTGGTGTTTTTAAAAATAGCTTTTAGAAAAGCAACAAAGTGATTTTATGTCTGGAGGTGAAGACCCTTGGAGGAATTTTTCTCATGGACTGTCAAAATATATACCCAAACCATAAGTGGATGTCTGAATAATAACTCATTTACTTTTATTTGATTTGTCAGGTTTTATTTTTCAAAACAAGAGTCAGAATAAGTGATGTCTTTTAGTTGGACTTGTTTCTATTGTTTATTAACATATCCAAGGAACACGTAGAATGAATTGGCAGAATATAATCATATTATCAAATAATTATTAGTTTAGTCAGTTTCATAAACCTAGATAATCAAATGAAAATACATAATAATATAATTATGTCATAATTTTTATCAAAATTTTAAAATTAATGAATTAAATCCAGCTACCAAAGATAAGGGTTTGTGAAAAGTAGATACAATACTAGAGTGGAGGTTGTAATGAAAACTCAGAATGGGCTATAGTATTAAAAAAAAATAAAGACCTCCAGTATTTTTTTTTCTCAAAATGGCAGATTAGAGTCATTGTTAGCATGCCTCTCCTATTTGGAAAGACAGAATTGTGTGTGGAGATTCACACTGTAAATTTTTTCCAAGAAGCAACACAGAAAATTAACAGGAAAACTGAAAGAAAGCACAGACTTTTTGAAAGAAGTGTCAGGTTGCTGTCTAAAATCATGAGCCAGGAGGAAAACTTTAAGTCCCTAGAATGTCAGATAGGGATAAACTGCCTCTAGGACATATACTCCTACTGGGGAACCAAGCAATCCAGGCCACAGGGAAAGGCCTTAATCCCACCCAGCGCTGGAGCTGATTTAGTGAGCAGTGGGGCATATATGAGAAGTAGCAGCATGGGGACGGGCTTAGTGTGCATGCCCAGCAGGACAGAGGAAAGCCATCCCTGATCCTATCTCACAGGGGACCTCACAGAAGTCAGCCAGGTAACTCAGGCAGTGGTCACAGGTTGAGAGAAGCTCTCAACTGAGATTCGTGATATAATCTCGAGTGGAGACAAACCCCCTTGGTCAGAACCATGGGGCAGATGGGAAATGTGCTGCAGCCATAGGTGCAAGAGCTGGGTGCCCCTGCTTCATGGGCCAACTAGGAGAGGCGTGACCTGGAAGCCATGGTTGCAGTCTCTTCTGGGAAGTCTTATGGCCTTGGGCAGTGTTGAGTTCTGAGTGTTGACTGCTTGGAACCAAGCTGCTGCGAGTGGGACACTGCAGGTGCAAGACCTGCTTTGCCAAGTGTGTGGGAGCTGAGTGGGGCTAACTGCTGCCTGCTGCTCCCTATTCCTCATACAGATGCTTCTCTGCAGCAGAGGCAGCTGTGGTACTCCCTGCAACATTACTCCTACAGCCAGAGGACCACTATCTGATCCCCACTGGGGACAGTGCTTTTGCCCACACATGGCAGACAAAAGAGAGCTAGAATGTGAACTTGCCTGATTCAGCCCCCAGCTGGCTTTGCCCCTCCATCTGCCCTGGTAGCTTAACACAAAGAATAGAAAATTTTGAGAGCTCAATGGCCCTGCCCATTGCCTGAGTCATCAGCTTACCTCCCCTGCGTAACATAAGGCAAGCACAAATCCCACTGCTACCAGCTGGTGCTCTTTTTCAAGTGCCACCTTGTGGCTGGAGGCCTACTGACACAATCCATTACAGCATCTGCAGGCACACTAACAGTGCACAGGAAAGAGAAAACTTGTGTGTGACCTAAGCTGTCACCTTTGCCTATATAACCTTGGCTTACTAGGAGGTCCTGAGTCTGTCCATGCGACCAGTTCATCACTACTACAGGTGGCATTACAGAAAAACCAATGCACCAAGACTACTTATAATCAAGAAATCTCACAGAGTCTATGTCATTCTCCTGTCACCCCCATGAGAGCTGTTGTTGCTACTCACTACAGAGTCTTGAGAACAGGTCACATCACTGGACCCCTTGTAGACATTCCCCAGCACCAACCTGGAGTGTGGCAGTCCCACTAGGTGGCTAGAGCCAGAGAAGTAGCAGCATTCATACTAGTCTGGCCCTCAGGGACTCCTACTCTTAGGATAAGGGGGAGTGCACATCAGTGGCACACCCCATGGAAAAAAGAATCTAGATGGCAGGACTTGAGTCCAGAACTTCCCACCTGTGGAAAGTTTCTTTCAGTAGAGGCACAGGTACAGTGCTGGACTTGGGAAAATCTACAGAACGGTCTTGAAGAAAAAGATTTCCCCCCTCATTCACCACTGCAGACACAGCTGGTGCTTCTCTTATGGGAATTTAGCATGAGTGGACCTGTAGATAGCCTTTCTGGAACACTTCAAGTTAACTGCGTCCCCAGAGGAGGAGTCCCCTCCAGATTCAGATTTGCATAAGGCATAGAATCACAATCTCTCTCTACTTGGAACATGAGAATTCCTGCAAATAAAAAGGGCCTGCTAATCTGAATAGCTAGAACTGTATTTAGGAGTGTGACCTGCTTTCCTGGGGGCCTGGCAAGGGAGCTGAAGTGGCTCCCTCCCTTCCCCGTGAAAAGACCTCAGTGCATTTCACTAAGAGCTCCCACAGATGCCTTGGTCAAGGCTTGGGCTTCTTCCCACCATTGGGTATTGCATTTACCAATCTGCTGGTTTTCACTCAGGGACACCTCCCCTACTGGCCTGAAATCTGAATTATTCAACCAGGTAAAGAAAACACTGGGAGAAAAAAAAAGGCAAAAAAGTGCACACCACTTGGGAACTAGATAAGCTTCATGAGACCTCTGCCATTGCTACCCCACAGGAAACAGTGAACCTCCACACACACACTGAGCATAATGTTACCACAACTAGCATCTGAGAAAGCCAACATACAAACATTTTAAATAACCAGGGAACTTATACAGTCTTCACCCCTGAAAGCACCCAGAGCTGAATTAGGTTACAATAAACTATAAACATTAAAGTCACATCCTCAAAGTGAAAAAAAAAAGTGAAAAATCACAGTCAAATCAAAAAATAAATTCAAAAATAATTAGAAGATATAGTCTCAAAAGTAATTAGAAGATATACTCTATCCAAATGAGAAGAAACCAGAAAAATAATTCCGGCAATAGGACAAAATAGGGTTCTATAACACCTCAAAAAGAACACACTAAGTCCCCAGCAATGGATCCCAACCAAGATGAAATCTTTGAAATGCCAGAAAAAGAATTCAAAGAAATAAGCAAAGTCTCTTAGAAATAGGTGACTATGTAAAATGGCCAAATATAGCAATTGCTGTTCCTAAGGGAGAAGAAACAGCAAAACTTTTTGAATACTTATTTGAGGGCATAATTGAAGAAAACTTTGCTAGCCTTGCTAGATATTTAGATGTCCAAATACAAGAAACTCAATGAGCTCTGGGGAGGTTCACTGCAAAACTGACATTACAAAGCCATATAGTAATCAAGCTATCTAAAGTCAACATGAAGAAATGAATTCTAAGAACAGTGAGACAAAAGCAACAAGTAACCTATAAAGGAAAACCTATTAGACTAACAGCAGACTTCTCAGCAGAAATCTTACAGGCCAGAAGTTCACTGTATCTTTAGGCTTATCTTTAATATCCTTAGACAAAATAACTATTAGTCAAAAATTTTGTATCCAGCAAAACTGAGTCTCATAAATGAAAGAGAAATAATGTCTTCCTCAGACAAGCAAATGCTGAGGGAATCTGTCCCTATCAGACCAGTCCTACAAGAAATGCTAAATCTTGAAACAAAATGTTGAGCTGCATCAGAACCTAACATACAAAGATTCTCATAGACTCAAGGTAAGGGGGTGGAGAAAGATATTCAATGCAAATGGAAACCAAAAGCAAGCAGGTGTAGTTATATCAGATAAAGTAGACTTTAAAGCAACAATAGTAAAAAAAAAAACCAAAGAAAGTCATTACATAATAATTAAATAATTAATTCAACAAAATATAATAATTCTACATAAGTATGCACATAACACTGGAGCTCCTACATTTATAAAACAATTACTACTAGACCTAAGAAAAGGAATAGACAGCAACACAATAATAGTGAGGAACTCTAACACTCCACTGACAGCACTAGACAGATCACTGAAGCAGGAAGTCAACAACAACAAAAACAAAAAAACACTGGACTTAAGTTGCAGTCCAGAAGAAATGGACCTAACAGACGTTTACAGAACATTGTACCCAAAAACCGCAGAATTCACATTCTTCTCATCAACACATAGAACAGCCTCCAAGACAGACCATAGGATAGGCCACAAAAACAAATCTCAATAAATTTTAAAAAGTCAAAATTATATAAAGTATCTTCTCAGGTCACAGTGAAATAAAACTAGAAATGAGCTCCAAAAGGAACCCTTAAAACTATACAATTACCTGGAAATTGAACAATCTGCTTCTTAATGATTACTGGGTTAACAATGAAATGAAGAAAGAAATTAAAAAATTCTTTAAATGGATGATTATAGTGACACAAGTTATCAAAACCTCTGGGACATAGCAAAAGCAATGCTAAAAGGAAAGTTTCTAGCACTGAACACCTACGTAAAAAAGTCTGAAAGATTACAAATTCGCAACATAATGTCATACCTCAAGAAACTATAGAAACAACAAATCAAACTTAAAGCCAGGAGAAGAAAAGAAAGATTACAGCAGAACTAAATGAAATTGAAATAAAAATACAAAAGTTTAATGAAACAAAATTTGGTTATTTGAAAATAGAAATAAAATAGATCATTAGTTAGAAGAATTAAGATTGTTAGAACAATTAACAATTGTTCTAACAATTAGAATGATTAACAATTGTTCTAACAATTAGAACGATTAACAATTGTTCTAACAATTAGTTAGAACATTAGTTAGAACAATTAAGAAGATAGAAGTTTAAATTAGCTCAATTAGAAATGAAAATGGAAACATTTTAACCAATATCACAGAAATATAAAAGATCATTTGAGACTACTATGTAACCTCTATGCACATAAAAATAAAAGTAAAGAAAATAGATAGATTCCAGGAAACATACAACCCTACCAGCTTAAACCAGGAAGAAATAGGTATCCTTACAGACCAATAACAAGCAGTGAGATTGTATAAGTAAGAAAAAAAAAATGCCGACTAAAAAACCCAGACAGATCACAGCCAAATTCTATCAGACATTCAAAGAAGAACTGGTACCAAGCCTACTGAAACTACTCTAAAAGACTGAGAAAAAGGGAATCCTCCTTAACTCATTCTATGAAGCCAGTATCACCCTGATACCAAAACCAGAAAAAGGCATATCATAAAAAAAGAAAACTACAAATGAACATCTCTGATAAAGACATACGCAAAAATTCTTAACAGATACTGGCAAATCAAATCCAAAAGCATATCAAAAAGACAATTCACTATAATCAAGTGAGTCTCATCCCAGGGAGGCAAGGATGACTCAACATACGCAAGGTAATAAATGTGATGTATTTTATAAACAGAATTAAAAACCAAATACGTATGATCATCTCAATAGATGCATAAAAACATTCAGTAAAATCCAGCATTGCTTTATGATAAAAACCCTAAACAAACTAGACATAGAATAAACATATCTCAAAATAATAAAAGCTATATATGACAAACCCATGGCCAACATCATATTGAATGGGGAAAAGTTGAAAGTCTTCCCACTGAGGGCTAGAACAAGTTAAGGATGCCCATTTTCACCACTTCTACTTAACATAGTACTGGAAGTCCTACCCAGAGCAATCAAGCAAGAGGAAGAAATAAAGGGCATCCAAGCTGGAAAAGAGGAAGACAAATTATCTCTGTTTGCTGATGATTTAAGCATATACTTAGATAAGCCTAAGAATTCCACCAAAAGACTCTTCTATTTGATGAATGAATTCATAAAATCTTAGGTTACAAAATGAATGTACACAAATTAGTACTACTGCATAGCACCAACAATGATCAAGCTGAGAATCAAATCAAGAACTCAATTTCTTTTACAATAGCAGCAGAAAAAAAATTGAAATACACTTAACCAAATAAGTGAAAGATCTCCATAAGGAGAGCTACAAAAACTGCTGAAATAAATTAGAGATGATATAAACAAATGGAAATACATCCCATGCTCATGGATAAGAAGAATCATATTTGTGAAAATGACCTTACTGCTAAAAGCAATCTACAGATTCAATGCACTTCCTATCAAAATACTGACATCATTTTTCATAGAATTAGAGAAAGCAATTCTAAATTCTTATGAAACCAGAAATAAGCTTGAATTAAAAAAGCAACTCTAAGCAAAAAGAACAAATCCAGAGGCATAGTTTTAAGAGACTTCAAGTTATAATACAAGGTTTTAGTAATCAAAACAGCATGCATGGTACTGGTATAAAGGTAGATAAATAAACCAAAGGAAAGGAATAGAGAAACCAGAAATAAAGCCAAATGTATACAACCAACTGATCCTCCACAAAGCATTCAAAAACATAAATAGGAAAGGACACCCTATTCAATAAATGATGCAGGGAAAACAAGACAGCCACATGTAGAAGAATGAAACTGGATCACTCTTTCTCACCATCTACAAAAATTAGAAGATGGATCAGACTTAAATATAAAACCCAAAACCATAAAAATTCTGGAAAAAAACTAAGAAAAACACATCTGGATATTTACCTAAGCCAAAACTTTATGACTAAGACTCCAAAAGTAAATGCAACAAAAGCAAAAATAAATAAAAAGGACATAAGTAAACTAAAAACCTTCACAGCAAAAGAAATAATCATCACAGTAAACAGATAACTCAGAGAATAGAAGAAAATGTTTACAAAGTATGCATCTAGCAAATAATTAATATCTAGAATTAACAAGGAAAACAAATCAGCAAGAAAAAATAATCCCAACAGAAAGTGAAAAAAAATTACATGAATAGACATTTCTCAAAAGAAGATATACAAATGACCAACAAACATATAAAAAATTCTCAATGTCACTAATCATCAAAGAAATGCAAATTAAAACCACAGTGAGATACCATCTTTTCCCAGCATAATAGCCATTATTAAAAAGTCAAAAAAAACAAAGAAACAGATTTTGGCATGAATGTGGTGAAAAGGGCATGCTTATACATTGCTGGTGGGAATGTAAATTAGTACATCCTTTATGTAAAGCATTATGGAGATTTTTGAAATAACTAAAAGTAGATCTAGCATTCAGTCCATCAATCCCACTACTGGTTAACTACTCAAATTAAAAAAAGTCATTGTATCAAAAATACACCTGCATGTATATGTTTATTGCAGTACAATTCACAATTACAAAGATACAGAACCAACCTAAGTGCTCCTCAACCAATGAGTGGATAAAGAAATGTGGTAAACATACACCATGACATACTACTCAGCCCTAAAAAGAATGAAATAATGTCATTTGCAGCAACTCCAACTGGAGCTGGAGGCCATTATTCTAAGTGAAGTAACTCAGGAATGGAAAACCAAATATCATATATTCTCACTTTTAAGTGGTAGCTAAGCCATGGGTATGCATACAGAGTGGTATAATGGACATTGGAGACCACTAAGGGGGAGAGTAGGAGGTGGGTGAGGGATAAAACACTACATATTGGGTACAATGTACACTACTTGGGTGACAAGGGCACCAAAATCTCAGACTTTACCACTCTGTAACCAAAAACCACTTGTTCCCCAAAAGTTATTGTGTTATATATGTATATTACATATGTCTAAGTATAGCCATAGATATCCAGGATTTTTTTTTATCCTTAAAAAACCATATGATTTAAGAGAACTTAAAGTTATTAAAATATATTATTATTTTAATTCTCCATCTCCCCTGGTAGTGTGCTATGCAAATAATAATGAGGAGATATTAAAGGTCCCTGGGTTTCTCATGGATTCTCTCAAAGCACTAGCTTCTTGAGACTCTTCACACACTGAGAGAATTAGATCTGTAGCCCTTTGTCCAGTTAATTTCTCTGATTTGCAACAATAGGAAAACTTCTTTTACTCCCCTAAGAGGGTCAAATTTTTAAAATCCTTAGATTACTAGGTTCCTAGGTTAAGTACTAGGGTAAGAGGAAGACTAGGTTTTTGTATTCATATGTCAAAAGATATGATGTTCCAGAATTTGGAGACAGCTATAGGTCATAAAAACTTGGAGATACAGGGTTATTTGGTTCCAGGAGAGATTTTACAACATTCCAAAAGTTTGGAATAAAGAAGATATCCTCTTAGAAGGACAGAAAAACAGCCGTTTCCGTCCTATTATAAGTATAAAAACAAAGACAAGGAAAAAAACCATTGTTCTTAACTTCTTGCTTTCAGAGAGTCTGGCCTCTCACTAGGATGATCTGGATCTCTTTATACTGTCCAAAGATAAGAACTGGGAAAAGGAGCAGCCAACACACATTATTAAGAAATCTGTTTCTGACTGAGAACACTGTGTGGACATTTAAAATAAAATTAACAAACTTGAGCCCAGGAGTTTGAGGCTGCCATGAGCTATGATGGCATCACTACACTCTAACGTGGGCAACTAAGTGAGAACCAGTTTCTAAATAAATAAAGAAATAAAAACATAAATAGTAAAATGAATAAGATGAGTATTAAAAGCCCAAAAACAGATTCTCAAATTTTGTTGAATATGTGAATGGATGAATAAATATGAAATGTAGATGGAGACATTAGGAAGAAGTTAGCTTCCACTGAAAAATATACACAAATCAAATTCCAAATAATTAAATATGTAGAATATAGCTTGTTTACAACAATAAAAAATAATGTTCTCTGTCAGAGAAAATTAAGAAAAGCAATTTAAACTCAACTGTTATAGAAAGAAAGATTACTATCTATTTAGCAGTGCTTAAAAAGGAGGTCATAGAGAATTAATTCCAATATAAACCTGACATGAACAGCAATGCAAAAAATTTGGACTCAATGTAAAATATTATTTGATGGTGTGAATAAATAATGAAATAAATGTTCATAAGATAAATTGTTGAAATAATTTGAAATCATTTTTGAATAATTATTGAAATAATTAAATAAATTGTTCATGAAAAATTACTCATCTTGAGGAAGACAATCCCCATTTTACTACAATTTCATTATTTTATATTGGCAAGAGAAGAAATATTTTGAAAAACATTAATAAAGTTGACTTAAACAGGAGTATGATCCTCTTTCAGATGCAAAATAGAAGATAGGGGATGGAGCAAGTCTACCTTCCTTAAAAAGGTAGCTGAAGTCATCAGGAATTGTTTGTGTCATGCTACAGACCTATACTGAAGAATAATAAATGAAACAGACTTATGAACTCATCAGATATATTTACACTAAGCATACTGATTAGAAAGTTCTCCTCATGTAATTTCTTCTTCCTGAACGATCTCAAAAAAATATAATTTCAGGTCTAGATAATTGAAATAAAAGTGCATCCCTGAAACAAATTATTTAGCTCTTACTTTTTATAAATACTCTAATTGCTAAACTTATCAGGATCATGACCTACTTTGTATAGACAAATTAAATTCTAATTCTCCAGATCACAATATATAGGCTTTAAGTCACCATAATTTTTCCCCATTTGCCTCATTTCTGCCTTTCTTTGAGGTCTCTACCTTTTGTAACTAGTTTTTAATTTGTAAAATATTTACTTAATATTAGCTGATTTATAATGAATTAGTTTAGACTAGAATGGCATTTGAATACTTGTTGAAAATAATATCACTTGTAGACCCAGAATACTTTGGTAGCTACTTCATTTTCTCTGTCTCTTTCTGAAAAGTTAGCCAGCTTGCTTTAGGCAGACACTAAGGGAAGGGTCCCCCAGAGAACCTCCTATCTGCTCCACAAGTGTTTATACCAGATGTTTTGTGCACATAAGGGTACTTGCTCCGGGGGCTTGCCTAAACATGCCCGCAGTGGAAAATTTTGTTTCTTAACACGTGGGCAGTAAGAAAAATAAATCAATATGGAATGTCTCAGACTAAGGGTCTGCATGCACTCTGGAAGGATGCAGTGGAGCCTACAGGAATTCACGCCTTATACAAATAGGGAACTCAGCCCCATCAGCTTATATAAAAATGCCTTTGATTCACCTGTGAAGAGGGCAACCGGGAACCTACTTTCAGGACTCCTCTCTTTGCTGAGAGCTTTCCTTTAACTTAATAAATTCTATACAATTCAGAACAATGTGCTCTCCCTCCGTTTTTAGAGACATGTCCCTTACCCCAACCTCCAATGGCCACAGGTACACATGTGAGACAAATGGGAGAGTGGCAACTCCCAACCCCCTCCCCTCCCGTCTGGGGCACATAGCCCAAGGGCCCCACTTGGCTAGGTGGCCAGCTTTTCCTGCTCACTCTTCCCTCTCCCCATGCACCCACAGTGTCTTTCCTCCCCTGGCTGAGCCAGAAAGGAGGAGACAGCAATTAAAATGTTCTCTCCCTATTGGAGGAACTCATTTGCATAAGAATAAAAGGTTTCTCCTCCAGGCATCTTCCCCACCCTGCACTTAAGCTGTTTTATTTTATTTTTTTTTCTTTTCTCCACTTTGTAAGGAGTTAACTTTTATGAGAGGTTTTTTGTTGGTTTTTGTTTTTGTTTTTTCTTATTAGGCCAGGACCCCAATTCCCAAGACAGCCTTTTCTCTCCCTTGTTTAAGGAAGACCCAGCTCCAAAGCTTTAGGTTAGCATGACTCATTGCTGCCGATTAGGCCCCCTTCCATCTCGTGGATAGAGGTCATTCTAGTATCCACGGCATGTATGAAATCCAGAGAACTCAAAAGTTATCGACAACAGTGGGACAAGCAGCGCATGGGTAATGGTGGATAACTCGCACCCTGTAAGCCCCCTGTTAACATAGGTGAAAGCTGCACTGGCACCCATGGGTGGTAACCTGCCAAGATCACCAGGACTCAGGGATATAAGAACAGAAGAAAGAAAGAGGACACTTTTCTCCTCTCCCTCATGTACCTCAGGTATTTACTAGGAAAAAGAAGAAACTAGGGATGCCTTGCTCCCCTCTTCTTAGGTGAGTAACCAATCATCTGCAGCCCATATTTCTCTTGATTGCCTCCTGAATCACTAGGACTCTTCTGGAAAAACACCTCCTTTCTCCTTTTTCCTCCTCTGTCCTCTCTTTGTGGGTGGGTCATTGTGTCGCTGTACCACAGGACACTCCCTTTGGATGCATCTCTTAAACTGGGAAAAGTTAATTTCTCCAAACCTTAAACTGCTTGGCTCAAAACTGAGCATGAAAAAGGGCAACTCAGAAGCCTGGTACACCAGCAAAAGGGTAAAAGTTCTTACCAGGGCCGGGTGCAGTGGCTCACGCCTGTAATCCCAGCATTTTGGGAGGCCAAGGCAGGCGGATCATGAGGTCGGGAGATGGAGACCATCCTGGCTGACACGGTGAAACCCCATCTCTACTAAAAATAACAACGACAACAACAACAAAAAATTAGCCGGGCGTGGTAGCGGGCACCTGTAGTCCCAGCTACTCCGGAGGCTGAGGCAGGAGAATGGCGTGAACCTGGGAGATGGAGCTTGCAGTGAGCGGAGATCACACCACTGCACTCCAGCCTGGGGACAGAGGGAGACTCTGTCTCAAAAAAAAAAAAAAAAAAAAAAAAAAATAGTTCTTACCAGTCAGACTTCTGGCCTCCTTCTCCCTGTGCAAACCAGTTGAATAAATGATAAAATCCCTGTTTAAATCACTGTTTATATACTCTCTGAAGTTCTGATAAATAGAAAAAAAGGATTTATGAGGCTAGTCTTAAGCTGTAGCCAATGTAGTGTGCTTTGTGTGTCTTTCTGTATAGTTCTGTCATAAAGAGGGGTACCTTAGGATAGAATGCAGGCCTAGGACCCCAAAAGTTTGCTGATCAAACCAGCCTGGCAAACTGGTCAGTAACAAACCTTGCTGCAGTTCTTCATCTTGTTTTTTGTCCTTAGGAGCTTGACCTTGTAACCACTTGATAATACTTTCTTTTGGCCTCTGCCATTTTACAATGGTGGCCTGGGTTTAATCCCGGCTTAGGGAATGAGTATATTTTGGCCAATATCTGTGTGACTTTTACCATTTGCTGATTCTCTTCCCCTCTATAAACAACTTTAGCTTCCTTTCTTAAATCTTCCTTTGTCTGAACCAACTTTAAAGATCTTAGATTCTGTAAAAACTGCTTAGCACCTCTTTGAAAATAACTTTTACACTTACAGTTAAGTCATAACCTTAGTTGAGGCTTGTTGGTTTCACCTGTGAGGTTATTTTTAATAAAGTTCAAAAGCCAGAAATATTGGCTGCTCGGCATGGCTAAAGTTGGGTAATAGATATGAAACGATTTTCTTAGAGCACAGCTGAATTCAAAGTGGATATCCAAGTTATAGGTATATTTAAAGGCCTTTAAATTTTTCTCTGCATGGATCTTGTTTTTCTGGAAAAAGGTTCTTTCTCTGTTGAATGATTTTTTTTTTCCCATTTTGTCTTGTCATTCAGTGCATACATGAGAGGCTCTAAGATAACTTCTGATAGCCCGGGGCTCCTGGGAAAAAACAAAGAAGGTGCCGCAGACCCCATTTTGGGGAAAAAACACCCTCTGTTTTCCTCACGAAACTCCAGGAATTAAAAGTGGATAGATCCTTCTCAAAATCTGTCTCTGTCTTCCAGCTATGCCTGTTTATTAGGCCCTAGAAACTGTATGCTGTCCTAGACCCTGCTCTTGAAGGGCTTCACCCAGAGGCCAATAATCTATTCAGAAGATTGGCAAATGAAAAATCTTACAAGTACTGAATTTGCTTTTGTTCATCTGTGTAATTTTATATTTCTTATGGGCGTGATGTTTATATAAAAAAGCTCTAGGAAAATAAGCACTTAGATCAAATATTTTTTGAAGAAAAATAAAAGCTGTAATACCTTTTCAGTTCACATGACTATAATCTTTAAGAAATAAAGGCTGTTTTAAAAATAATTGGTAAAATACAAATGTCTTTAAAATGTAAATATGTGGGCTGAATCATGTAGGTCAAATGCTAGGTTAGCTAAATGCTTCAAAGTTATTAACTGCTTCTTTGGCTTTTAAGAACTATTTGATGAAGTTTGGCTCTGTGTCTCCACCCAAATCTCATCTTGTAGCTCCCGTAATTTCCATGTGTTGTGGCAGGGACCCAGTGGGAGATGATTGAATCATGAGGGTGGGTCTTTTTATGCTGTTCGCATGATAGTAATGGGTTTCATGGATCTGATGGTTTTAAAAATGAGAGTTTCTCTGCACAAGCTCTCTTTTTTGGTTTGCCACCATCCACATAAGATGTCACTTGCTCCCCCTTGCCTTCTGCTATGATTGTGAGGCCTCCTCAGCCATGTGGAACTGTAAGTCCAATTAAACCTCTTTCTTTTGTAAATTGCCCAGTCTCAAGATTGTCTTTATCTGCAGCATGAAAATTGACTAATACACTATTCAATTTGCCTGCTTCACAATTAATAAGTCCAGGGACATATGGAATTAACCACACCCTTAATTATGCAGGAAGGAATCAGACTTTATTTATGCCTACTACATAATTAAAGCAACTTGCCAGGTTTTACATTAAAGTTAAAAATTGCTAGGAGTTACCATAATAATCTGTAATCGAGACAATGAAAATAGATTTACATATAAGGTAAGTAAGGAAAGTAAAATATGTTTTTAGTAAAAGATTATAAGAATGCATGAAAATGTAAATTTTTGCCTTGGGTTAAAGGATTGTTTTGAATTAGATAAGATAAAGCTGAAGGTTTAAACAAATGGTGAAAAGTTTGTAAAACTTAATCTTGCAAAAGAAATTGTGTGAACATATTGGCTAATTTCAAAAAAGTATTTTGTTTTTGTAAATTGAGCATTGAAATAAAAGCACAACAAGGTTTTCTAAAGGCGCTGACCTGCTCTTTAACAACAATTTGTAAAGGGTTATAAAAGTTTAAAAAAAATCTCACCTCATGGTCAAACTAGATAAGATTAGATATAATTATCTATAAGTTTTCATTAAAAAAATTAGGGTTGACATCAACAGTAGACTAATGCAAGGATGAAATTAGGCTTTCACTTGAACAGCATTTCCCTGTAAAATTAACGACAGATTGTTTGGAAAGCTAAATTTTCCCTCTTCCTGTGAATATGCTTTTGCGTTGTTTTAAAATGTTTGAGTCATCATTTTGGCTAAAATAAATGACATGTGGTAACTTGGAATTCTATTTTATAGTATCAAGTGCTTTGAACCTCTAACGTAATTAACAGTCTTCCCAAAATCAAACTTCAGTTTTAAAATTGTCTTTCCTGGTCCCTGGAACATCCAAAACAGAAGAAAACTGGGTTTTTTGAAATGTTTAGTTATATGGTATTTCCAAAGTTGTATTTAATCTGCTTTAGGTTATATTTTAGTGAATAATATTAATATGTTTCAAAATTATATGAGATTTCTAAAATTCTAATGTCTGAGTATATGCTATCAATCATAATTAAGGTTATTATGTTTAGTTATTGTAAACCCTAGAAATAACTAAATTTCTTTGTCAATTGTATTCTTGACAGTAACTACCCTGGACATTTCATCATTCACAGACAAATGTCTTGTTTTGATCCTACTCAAAAGATGATTTATAATCAGCTATAGGATTTTGACAAGTGTTCTCAAATGCAAGATTCCATTAACTCTGGAGATTATGACATTGAAAAAAATACAGTACTCATGAAGAACTGAAATGTTCATGAATATCAAGCAGAACAAGAGAACAGAATGGATTGAACTAATAGAAAACAAGTATTATTTTTAACCTTTTTGCTTAAAACTTTGGTGATCCTTGCTTTATTTTTCTGAGTCAAGGATACTTATTTTGACCTATTTAAAACCTTTAATAATTGAGTAAACTATACGCCTGTGAACAAAATTTGAAGGATGTTTGTTTCTCTCTGCCTGGCTTTGCCAGAATTTGGAAACTATTTGTGAGAATATTTAATTTATGGCAATTCAGTTATTTTCATCAGTGCAATAAGAATACATTTTCTTTTGCAACAGGACACAATTGAAGAAACTGGGGGTTTTACCAAGGCTTTTACTGGAAGGGTATATGTTCCTTTAAGTCATTAAGCTGGACTTGCCAATAAAAGTCCCTTGGGAAAACTGGCTACATACCTTGTCAACACAGTCCTTGTACAAGGTTCCTAACCCATGGGGAGTAAAGCATGTCACTTTTTAACAGGCTTAGGAGCCTGTTAAAAAGCTTGTTCTTGGGACATCAAGAAGAGAATGATTTACCAAACTTGTAGATATTTGAGGGTGGAAACCCTTGGCTGGGCTTGGCCTTAAAAGGTCTTAACTGAGATGCCTTATGGAACAGAGTTCCATCAAAGCCAATTTAAAAGCCTATGGGAAAAATAATTATTCTTTTTGCACTTTATGCAAATAAGACAAGTATAAGGCTAAAGTTTATTTTTTCAAACAACTGAGTCCTATCATGATTTGTTTTTGACAAAAATGAGGACTGGAGAGAGAGAAATTATGTTTCAAAACGTATTCTACATTTGTCATTACATTATAATCCCATTAGTTGTTTTTAAGTTTTTGCCTACATTTTAGACTACCCTGCTTGTTCCTGTGGACCAACCAGCAATGTACGGCTGCAGCTCAAAAGAACCAAAGGGACGAGTAATATAAAAAATCTGGATCAATATTTTAATTCTGAACAATTATCCTGCAAATCCTTCCAGGTGATCGGAGTAAATAGGTGCCCATAACCCAGAGATTTCTTTGTTTGGGAAAATAAGACCAAGGGAGCTAATCAAAGCCAAGCCCCATGAATACAAACCTTAGCAGGCATAACTATAGCCACGAGTTATCTGGCTGTATTGGCAGCCTTGAGATTTTGTTTTGTTTTGTTTTGTTTTGAGCTGTCCTTATCCCTTTGTTTCATTTTGAATATGTCTTCTAATAACCCAAATTGTTTCTTCTCACTTAAAGGCCGTTCAACATCAAATGGTGATGCAAACAGAACCACTCATGAACACACCGTTCTCTTTGGGGACCCTTAAACTGACCTCAGGAGGAGCCTTAACTGCCACTTTCCCAAAACAGCACCCCTTGTCAGCAGGAAGCAGTTAAGAGCAGTCGTTGTACACTTTCCCCAACAGAATTTGGGGTCTCCACTCCTGAAGGGAGGAATGAAAGGAGTCAGCCAACTTGCTTTAGGGAGACAGTCAGGAAAGGGTCCCCTGGAGAACCTCTTACCCACCCCCCAGGTGTTTATACCAAATATTTTGTGCGGATAAGCGTACTTGCTAAGGGAGCTTGCCTAAACATGCCCATAGTGGAAAATTTCGTTCCTTAACATATGTGCATTAAAGGAAATAAATCAATATGGAGAGGCACAGACTAAGGGCCCACATAACTCACTGGAAAGGTGGAGTGGAGCAACCAGGAATTCATGTCTCATACAACCAGGAATTCACAGCCCTATCAGCTTGTATAAAAATGTCCTTGTTGCCGGGTGCAGTAGCTCACACCTGTAATCCGAACACTTCGGGAGGCAGAGGCGGGCAGATCACTAGAGCAGGAGTTGGAGACCAGCCTGACCAACATGGTAAATCCCATCTCTACTAAAACTACAAAAATTATCCGGGCCTGGTGACATGTGCCAATAATCCCAGCTACTCAGGAGGCTGAGGCAGGAGAATCACTTGAACCTGGAAGGCAGAGGGTATAGTGAGCCAAGATCACGCCATTGCACTCCAGCCTTGGCAACAGAGTGAGGCTCTGTCTCAAGAAAAAAAATGCCCTTGTATTCAACTGTTAAGGGGGCAACCAAGAACTTGATGTCAGGACCCCTCTCTTTGCTGAGAGCTTTCCTTTCACTAAATAAATTCTACTACACTTACTCTTTGAGCGTCCATGTGCCTACTTCTTCAGAACTTAGGCCTAGCTGGGCTAAGGAGCAAAAAACCCTGCATCGTATCTCAAACTCAACCTTTAAGTTTTTGTCCTACTAGTCTCCTTCACATTTTGCAATACATTAAAATTGCTTCAAGGTTTTTTCAAAATGTGTTTTTGGTAATTCTGCTAATTTATGCTGTTTAAAACATCCTGGCTGAATGATTTCAAATAAATTTTATAACATCTATTTCCATTTTTTTTTCACTCAGTACATATGAATCCACTGTTTAATCCAAATTTAAAGTAACAATCATTAAAGTAAATTAAAATGGAGTCCAGGCCTGAAGAATTTCTGAGCAGACAAAACCAGTTAGGCATCATAAGTGATCTAAACCTTGTTTGATCTACAGATATAAGGGAAACTTGAGCTATTATCAATTTCTATATTAAAGAAAAACAGAACTTAAGTTCAACCAATCAGAAGTAGCCAACACACATAATCATACAACTGAAGACTTTCCAGTGGGATAGACCTAATAACGTACAACTTTGGTACCAAATAAGGTACAAATAACTGTACAACTATAAATAGTCAAATATTATCTTTAGTTTTCTTCTGTGCCTGTCCTCTAAAAGCCTCCCCCTGTGATCCCTCAGTGGTGCTCTTAAGCCACTTTTATGGTTTGGAGCTGCCTGAGTCATAAATCATTGTGTAAATAACATATTTAAAATTTTATTGTGTCTTAGTTTATCTTTTAACACAGTGGTCCTCAACCCTTGGTTATGAGCTATGGCTTGTTAGGAATCAGATCATACAGCAGGAGGTGAGCGGCAGGTGAGTGAGCATTACCACCTGAGCTCTGCCTCCTGTCGAATCAGCTACAGCATTAGATTCTTATAGGAATGTGAACCCTATTATGAACTGAGCATGCAAGGGATCTAGGTTGTGCATACCTCATGAGAATCTAATGCCCGATGATCTGAGGTGGAACAGTTTCATGCCTGTATTAGTCAGGGTTCTCCAGAGGGACAGAACTTATAAGATATATGTATATATGAAAAGGAGTTTATTAATGAGAATTGACTATATGATCACAAGGTGAAGTCCCATGATAGGCTGTCTGCAAGCTGAGGGGCAAGGAAGCCAACAAAGGCTTAGTTCAGCTACAAAAGCCTCAAAAGTAGGAAAGCTGGCAGTGCAACATTTAGTCTGTGGCCAAGGGCCTGAAAGCCCCTGGAAAACCACTGCTGTAAGTTCAAGTGTTCAAAGCCTAAAGAACCTGGAATCTGATGTCCAAGGGCAGGAAGCATCCAGCACAGCGCAATGATGAAAGCCAGAAGACTCATTAAGTCAGCTTATCCCACCTTCTTCCACCAGCTTTGTTCTAGCCAAGCTGACAGTCAATTGGATGGTGTCCACCCACATTGAAGATCGGTCTTCCTCTCCCAGTCCGACTCAAATGTTAATCTCCTCCAGCAACACCCTCACTGACACACCCAGAAACTATTCTTTACCAATTATCTAGGCATCCTTCAATCCAATTAAGTTGACACCTATTATTAACCATTACAATCCTGAAACCATCCTCTGCTCCCCTGTCCGTGGAAATATTGTCTTCCACAAAACCAGTCCCTGGTGCCACAAAGGTTGGGGACTACATAGAACTCAATGAAATGAGAAGTAGTTTCTGATTCAGCTAATGTCTGTTAAGTGATTCTCTCTATAGATCCAAGTATTATGAGCAACCTCACACAATCACATTCATGAGATTTCTATTACTCTGTGTGTTGGACTTCAAGGAAGGAATGGAATGCCATCATTAGGCACCAAATACTTCCACTATTGATTAGCATTGAGATTTTTAGTAAATATTTAGGAGTACTGGGGGATGAAGGAGAGACAACACTATTTATTCTTGTACTAGAATACTCATTTCTAATGCCTATAATTAAATCAATAGGAAAGTTATGGAGAAAATCTGGGCATTTTGAGATAGTTGAAGAGTAAGTATTCCATATGTATGTCAGTTGAAAATTATTTTTGCTATTTGCTTTTGAAAGAATATAACAATGTTAGCAAATGAACAAGGTAATTCCTGGCTGAATTATATAATTATTTACAGTACTCCCAAAGATATTAATCTATTACCATTATATGTAATTCATGGGGAATGATATTAAACAATAGATAAAATATCAAGTTAATGTGTTTCAGGACATCACTCACAGCATAATGAAAAACTGACTTACTTCTGTATTTCAATAGCTTCAATACTCATTCAACATTACTGTGCATTACAAATCTATTGGTAAATTGCTTGCAAAAATAAGACTGAAAACAATTTTAAATTAAGTGTACAAATTTTTCTCTTTTTCTTTTGAAATAATTAATATTTTATTTTATTACTATAGTTTCCTTTAACTCTATAATTTGAACTGAGATGTTTGGAGAAAAAGTATTTTTAAAAGAATTTATAACAATAAGAATAACTGTTAGAATGCCAGTCCTATCAAGAAATGTTAGAAATATATAAGCAAAACTCAAAAGTAAATATCACTGTCTGTCTAACCATATTCCATGCATAGCTTCTACTACTGTTCCCCAGAATTGTCTGTTTTATCATTTCTCTTGACTTTTGATACATTTATTCATATATCCTCCATCCTCACTTAGTCCCTACTGTTTGTACTTCGGCATCATATCAACCCTATCTTGCCACTTAAAAGACAAAGTAATACTACTTTTTCAGTTTTTTTTCATTTAATGTAAGAAGTTATCATTTCCCCAATAGTGAAATGATGCAAAATGATTATTTGATGTATTGTCCAAATGGGTTCAGGTTTGTGACAGTCTCAAACACATCAGGGAGTAGGGACACCCTTCAGTTAAAGCACAAAGTTGTATTTTAATCTGTATTTTACTTTTAAAAAAGATTTTTTCTCAATATCACATAAACATCAAGCTCTTTATTTTACCTCTCTATTTACTTATTTACACGATTTAAGATTGAACATTTTTCATTATCAAAATTATTTTCAAAATATGTGTAAAATTGTTGAAATCTTAATTTTTCCAAAATGACAGCTGACTCCTCTTAAAGGTAATGGGAATCTTAGAATGTTATTTGCAAGTCAGTCTACAGCATTCTTTTCATATATAAAATGTTGTGTACTAATTTTTGAAATATTTGTAAATTAAATAGGTCATTTTTCTTTCAGGAGAAAGGAGACTTTGAGAAATTTTTGTGCAGGAGAAGAGTAGTTTTAAAAATAGGTAGTTTGCAATAGGGCAGACTAGTTTTAAAACTCTAAAATGAGAGCAAGTCAATAAGAGTCTCGATTAAATCTAGTGATCTTATTATTTATTTATTAATTGACATGTAATAATTGTACATATTCATGGGGTATAATTTCATACCTGGATACCTATCCATGTTGTATAATGATCCATTCAGAGTGAATCTATTATCTTACATATTTATCATTTCTTTGTGGTGAGAACATTCGAAGACAACTCTTCAAGCTATTTTGTAATATACGATATTTCACTGTTAACCATACTTACTCTACGTGCAACACAACACCAGAATTTTTTGCTCTTATCTAGTTGTAATTTTATACCACCAATCAAAGTTTCCTCATCCTTCTTTTCGTCCTCCTGTCTTTAGTCTCTGGTAACATTTTTCTACTCTCTGCTTCTATGCTATTAACTTTTTTAAATGTTTGTATTTTCTTTTTTTTTTAGACTCCACTTATGAGTGAGATCATGCTGTACTTGTCTGTCTGTGTCTGGCTTATTTCACTTACCATGATGTCCTCTAGATTCATCCATATTGTCATAAATGGCAAGATTTTATTTTTTATGGCTAAAGAGTACTTCATTGTATACAGATAGTGCATTTTCTTTTTGCATTCATCTGTTGCCAGACACTTAGGCTTATTCTGTATCTTGGCTATCATACATAGTGCTGCAATAAAAATGACTAGGTGCATTGCAATTAGCTTTAAAAAGATGGAACGGCATTGTAAGGACAGACCATGAATCTAAGCCCTTAGGTTGAATACTTAGGTTGAATAAAATTGTTGGAAGAAGTGGCTATTTGATGTATGTAATGAAAGGGATTCTTACTTGGCAGGTATTATTAGGAGAAAAAAAAAGGGAGAGAAAGTTGAAGGAGAGGGGAAAACTGCCACAGCAGGTTAAGCAACTTGCTTTAAAATAATTGGGATTAGTAAGTGTGCAAAGATAGAACTGGTGATGAAAGAGTGAGACTGGAATTAGGAATTAATTTGTAATACTAATGTTGCAGGTTGGGTCCTGGTTATGAGATTAAGTGGATGCTCATTCTTTGGAGCTATAACTGACCAGTGCCACATTAACAGATTTGGAAAATATGAGATTAACTATGAAGGTACAGAAAATAAAGGTATTAAAATTCTTTCTATATTTTAGATCTAATTGTTAATAATATAGTATATACACATCCATACTATATTATATATGTATATTACATATATAATAACATATATATGTGAAAAGCTATGGTAAATAGAAAACATTAGCTGGGCATGGTGGCTTATGCCTATAATCCCAGCACTTTGGGAGTTGGAGGCAGGAGGATACTTGAGCCCAGGGATCTGAGACTAGCCTGGGTAATATGGCAAGACCATGTCTCTACAAAAAGTAAAGAAAAGTAGCTGGGCCTGGTGGCACACACCTGTCATCAAAGCTACTCTGGAGGCTGAAGTGTGAGGATCACTTGAATTCAAGAGGTCAAGGCTGTAGTGAGCTGTGTTCCAGCCACTGCACTCCAGCCTGGGTGAGAGCACAAGACCCTGTCTAAAAAAAAGCAAAAGAAAAAAGAAACATTATTGAGGAGAAGAGATAAATAGAGTCTTAGAAATTTGAATTGATACATGAGTAAAGAATGACCCAATTATTTTTTACCGGGAATGGGAAAATAAATTTTATTCAAGTCCACAATATAGTTTTTAAAGCATAGACAATATAATACAGGGGTTGGGGGCGTGGTTACAACAATGTTAGAAACACTGAAAGAGCAAAAGGGGCCTGCTACTCCAGATGATGAGCAAATGAAGGAAGCCACTTCCATCCTTAACTGTGAAAAATGAGTAGGGGAAGGTGGTGCATTCTGGGTCCCATGATTCCAGACTGACCATTGGCCCTATTTGAGCGCAGCTGCCATTAGGCAGAAACTCTGGACTCCAAACTCTCAGTAAAACTTCTGAAGACACTGCTGTTGCTATTGCAGCTGTCAGCACCATTGATTCAGCTGAGAAGCAGCACAGAATATCACACTGACACCCACGCTGTTGGTTGTGTTTTTTTGAACCAGATTGAAATTAATATCTATTGTATGGTTCAATTTCTATGAAGTTCAATGTCAAGCAAATGTAATTTATAAAGATAAAAGTAAGAACAGTGGTTGCCTATAGTAATGATTGGAGGTTCACAATAGAGACTCCTGGATTCTAGTAATACTCAATTCATATTCATGTAGGTTGTGATGACATTAGTATTTTACGTTCTAAAAATGTTTAATGCTATATGCTCAAGATCTGTGTCTTTCACATGTGCATATCATATTTCATATTTCAATTAATAAATCAGTAATAAAAGTTCCAGTTCAGGATACAATACTGTAGAACAATCCAAAATATTAATTTATTCCTAAAGTTTTAAAAATATTAGAATAAATACGGAGCATTTTGTTAAAACAGTATGGTAAACCTAAATGTAAAAAAAAATTAAATTGAGTTAGGAATTTCAAAAAGACATTTCATGTGCCTTTTCAACTTTCAATTTCATATGAAAGTTGAAAAAACTTGAAATCAGTTAAGTGTGCATGTGTATGTAAAACAAAATTACTGCATATAAAAACTTTTTTGAGGCATCTAGAAAATATTTAGCAGTGTGCCATAGTTTAGAGGCATTTTAAAATGCTTTTTAGTGGTACATAAAAAATTAATTAATGACAGAGTCTATGAAAAACAAGTAGAGCAGCTTGAAATAATTCACATATTTTTCATGTAAAAGTTTTAGGAGAAGTCCAGTGATGTCACGATAGCTCTACGATGTTGATTTATTTTGTCGCTTTTATATGCTTATTTTATATACAAAATAGCTGAAAACAGCTATGAATTCTAAAGCATGGTAACAGGGGTAAAAGGTCACACACATTTCTTTTAGATGCTGCAAATATTGCTTCTGTTCACACGTTATCGTCCAAAAATTAGTTACATTGACTCATCAAAGTGCAAAGAGGCTGGTAAATGTACTTTAATTTGCTAAATGCCTTGCAAGATATAGGGATGTATATTGAGAAGACAAAGAATGGAAGTGAGAATTACTTGTTATTTTGACTTCCAACTATTGGAGAACATTCCCAAAGAAATATTATACTAAATTTCTGCCTGAATAATTATTTCAGCATCTCTTTCATGGTCTTTGCTTAAGGGCAGTGCTTCCAGCTGAGGCTGCATACAGTCTCATATTCCATAGACTAACTGTCTAGGGTAATTCAGACTTATAACCTAAGTTTATGTTACAGCTTTTCTAACTTATGTTCCTTTGATGGAGTTTATCCTCATTGCCCCACCCCCCAAATGGTTTACTAATAAAGTATAGTCTAAAACAGAAACATTATTCTTTTTATATTCTTTAATCTCCATTGAAATAAACACAATTTGTAGAATTATTAACTAATACAAATTAATTGAAAAGAAGCATCTTTCTTTTATATGAACAATGACATAGTTCAAATTTATCTTGAAAACAGTTTTAAGCACAAGTAATTACGCTGAATATGTAAATAACCCATTTATAAGTAGGTCAATAGGAAAACATTTCAACAAATTTCAAACTTGATATCATTTCTAGATCTTATGAAATAATGGAACATGTTTTGGAAGGTAAGAGAAGTTTACTTAGCCAATAATAACAGGTCTCAATCAATTATTTTTTAACAGCTAGTTTATCCCTGGATATACCTTACTATATCCTGTTTTTAGATATGGCATTTGAAAACCTCCAAGAATATAGATATAATTTTAATTGAGCTATTATGGTTAGTATTTATTTTTAAAGTTCTGAATTTTTTTAAAAAATTCAATTTCTATGGTATATTAACAAGATTGATTGGAATAATGCATTTTTTTAATGTGGTGGGTTGGTGATATGTTTTTCTTCTGAGAAAGAAGGCTGTTCATAATCTTAAATTATATTAGGTTTTAGAAACAACAAAAATTGTGGGATTCCCTTAATGGCTTTCTTGCACTTGAGTTCTAAAATATTTATCAATCTCAAATATATTTTGCATTATGTTGAAAAATGACTATTAATAGTTTCTGCTAAAAGGAATTATCAACTTTTTATGCATCACCATTTCAGAGTTGGGCTTATAAAAATATCAGTATCTGTCCTACATATATACCAATGTTTTTCAATTTTTAGTCAATTAAATATGTTTCATTGATTTTCTGCTGTGTGCCTAAAATTGTGCATGATGATATTATAGAAGGTACTGTGAAAAGGCTTAAAGCAGTATATTTAACCACTGCCTACCAGAGTAGTACATAGAGAAGCAAACCTAATCTATAAGCAACAATGAGAGCGTGCTACAGATAACTTTTAATATTGTAAATATATATGATACAGACGATAAAATCTTTATGAAATAATCTATAGGAGAGGTGAAATGGGTCTCTGCCAGGAGAATGCAAAGGCAGTAAAAAATTAAAAACCAAAATATTGAGAATTATTTTGAGGAAAGTGTTAGTAGAATTTAATAATACATTTAATAGAAACATAAGATTAAAAATGCAAAGATGAATTCAAAGTTGCTTACATTCAAAAATAACTCATTAAATGTACAGTATTTTAAGCACACTTTTGATCTATGAAGAGTATAAATATGAATAAGACATAGTTCTTTAGGCTAGACATAGAGAATATTTTTTGTGCAGAAATAAAATCTAGAGTATGTAATATTAGGGGAAAGAAAATGCCTCATAGATGTCAATAAACCTTGTTCCCTCTATTTTTTTTTTACTGGTTTCATTTCCTGTAATAATTGTGGTAACAGTAATGCTGAAAAAATTAAACCTCCAACTCTTAAAACAATAAAAGTTATTGCTTGCTTAAATAATAGGAATGCTATCTGTGATTTCCTGCAGGGTCATTCAAAGATTTATTATTTTCCCATCTGTGGTTTTGCCATCCTCAATACATAGCTCTTGGGGGTTTTCTGTGGATTGTTTTAATGTTAGCCAACCAGAGAGAATAAAAAGAGTGTTAAAAATTATTAATTCTGGGTCTATGTGACCCTGTAAGAAGGCTACATCACTACTATATACTTAGAACCTAAATTTCTATGCCAAAATATAGGCGAATATAGCAAATATTGTCCAAATTTACAAGGAAAGAGAAAATGAATTGTGTGTTCATCTTACAGTTTCTAATAAAATCCCCAACATTGAACTTAAATGACTCTCCAGTTGTTCATTAGGAGCATATGCTGTTGGTTGACTGCCAGCATACATTATCTCACCTTTTCTTTCTAAAATAGAACATATTCAATATATCCAAGGCTTCCAAGGCTTCAGTACTTCTCTAAGTTTACTGTCTCGTCTTCAGATTCAGGTATGATGTGATTACTCTAAGTATAGCCTGATTCTTTGCCAAAAATAAGAACAAAAATACGCATATGGCCCAATTCAGTACAAAGGCAAATCAGGGCAAATTACCTTAAGAGTTTTTAAGATAAATGTTTCTCTTGGTGTCTCTTTCTTGGTCTTCTGGGTAAGGTTGTATCTGAATATGATGACCCTAAATGTCTGCAGACATTTTTGCAGAAATGTTAAGGGTAAAAGTGACACAGCCAATAGCAAAGAAGTGCCAGAAAATACGTAAGCAAACTGTGACCTCTTTTTACCTCTTGATTGACTTTTATGTTAAATAATGAATTTACCTTATGCTTGAAAGAATTTGAAATAGTATTTGGCAGTGAAGAATTTACTCCTCCCATATTTTCATTCAAGAGAAATTTCCATGAGGAGGGTTGTTGGTGGGTTACCTCCAACTCAACCACTTCAGAGCTACTACAGTGGTAATGCATGTTGAAGAAAAGAGTCAAACTCTGTGAAATATTTGAAGAGATTTATTCTGAGGCAAATATGAGTGACCTCGGCCTGTCACACAGCCCAGGAGATCCTAAGAACATGTGCCAAGGTTGTTGGGCTACAGCTTGGATTTATACATGTGAGGGAGACATAAGACATCAATCAGTACACCTAAGATACACATTGGTAAAATTGGGAAAGGTGAGACAACTCAAAGCAGGTGGGGGTGGGGTGGGTGAAGGCTTCCATGTTAAAGGTGAATTCGAAGATTTTCTGATTGGCATTTGACAACTGGCTAAAATAATTTATCTAAAGACCGGAATCAATAGACAGGAGTGTATGGGTTAAGATAAGGTGTTTTAGAGACCAAGGTTCTTATGCAGATGAAGCTTGCAGGTAGCAGGCTTCACTGAGAATAGATTGTAAATGATTTTTATCAGACATAAAAAGGAAAAAGGACTTGGAATCAGGAAAAATCAGGAAAAAGACTTGGAAAGAGAAGGGGATTCTCTACAAAATGGAGATTTTCCCCACAGAAACAGCCTTGTAGGGCCATTTCAAAATATGTCAAAGAAATGTATTTTTGTGGTGAAATACTTTGATTTCTTTCAAGGCCTGCTATCTGTCATGTTGATATCTTATTGCTACGAAGAGTCTGTTTTGTCATTCTTAAGTCTCTACTTTAATGTTAACACTGTTCAGCTATGCATGAATTCCGAAAGGATGAAAGTAAATAACGAAGCATGTTCAACCACCCATTTCCATCATGGCCATTACTGTTTCAGGTTTAGTTTAAAATGCCCTTGGCCAAGATAAAGGGCCCATTTAGTTGGTTAACGGACATTGAATTTTATTTTTGGCTTACATGCAGGTGCCATGCTCTCCTTAGGTTGCTCCCTGCCAATGCTGAGCAAGGAAGATATTATAGGGCTTTTCATTCTTGTCCCACATGGACTCATCTAAAGGTCAAAGTTCACTTTGGTGCTCTTTCAGTGTGGCTGACAATTTCTCAGATCTGCACTCTTCTCTGAGGCTCCTCCTTTCCAATTATCTTTCATGCTCTCTCTTCTTTTGAGGTGCCGGCTTGCATCATGATCTGGAGGCTCTTGCAGCCTCTTGCTCTATCTTCTCTTTATTCTTCAAAGGCGTTTTCTCTGGTTACTCTCTTATACGTGTAATTCCATCTTGGTGTCTGATTCTTGGGAAACCCAAACTGGCTTATAATTTTTCTTACTTTCAGTAAAACCTTCTTTGCTGATGCATCATTCATTAATTCATTAAATGTATTGTGTTTTGTATGGGAAAACAATGATGCCAAAGTGTCTATAGCTATATAGTCTGATATATGCTATAATAAGAATTTGGAAAAAGTATTATTGGTTCACAAAGGCAGAAATTTAGGAGGTTAGATACATTTAAAGTAAAATTTGATTAAAAAGTGTGAACTTAAATAGATTAAGATAACATGGGGTGTTTGTAAAATATATTAGTAAAATACAATGACATACCCAAAGTCCTGTTAAATCAAATTAAATATGGCCTGAGAAAAACGCCATACTTCTATATTTCAGTCCTTGTGAATGAACTGCAACCTAACTCAATAGGTACACAAGACTAAAACCTAACTTAGGAATATGCGCCTGTAACAATCGCTGAGTCTTGGCCAATTCCAGCAGCCATACTTCAACTAGTCGCATACAGCTGAGTGTTCAAATAAGGCAAGTGCCAAGCCATAACCAATCCAGCTGTTTCTGTACCTCACTTCTGATTTCTATGGGTCACTTTACTTTGTATTGTCTATAAATTCATTCTGACCATGAGACACCCCTGGAGTCTCTCTGAATCTGCTGTGATTGTGGGGGCTTTCCAATTTATGAATCATTCATTACTCGATTAAACTGTAAATCTATTTTGGCTGAAGGTTTTTTTTGTTTTGTTTTGTTTTTTTTAGCAGTCCTCACCATAATGATCCATACACGTAAGTGTCTAATATAATCTTTCTAGCTTTCTTTTTTGGTTGTGTTTAGTCATACTGTTGCTGATTCAGCTTTGTATAAAATGTCAGAGCAAAATGACTATCAATAATACAGAGATCTGCAAGAATTCCCACACAGGTGAAATATGCATGGTGGAAAGAGGCAATTCTTAAGGCAAAGAGCCAAGCATGTACCAAACACCAATGCCCTTGCATACCAAAGCTAAAGATTCTACAATTTGCCAAAGATAAGAATGTACCTTTCACAACAGCAAGGACCTCATATATTGTCTTATTATATATCCCTAAAATCTAGCACAGTGTTGAATAAGAGGAAGTAGAAATAATTTTGAGAAGGAATTAAACATGTATTTGTAGAAGTCAAGTCTTACCCATTGAAAAAATATCTCCCCCATATTTGTAATTCATTAAATTGTTTGGAAGGGAAAAGAAACTAAAGGGAATACTCCATAGAGAAAGTTGTTTCAGAAATTATGTAAATTTATTCTAATAACTAAGAAATAGTGAAAATGTATTAGAAAGGTTAGGTAGAGGCACATTTCAGATTTAGACTAAGGTGCAAATGGCTTTCTACTTAATGATAGAGAAAAGCATAAATAAAAGTACATTGTATACATGAAATGGTTTTGTTTGAATTGGGTATAGAATATCAAATGAGAAATATATAGTAAGGAATTGAATATATGGAAATACAGATATAGACGGCCAGAGCACCTACTTGTAGCTCTTGATAGCAGAATTATCAGTCAACTGAAAAGATATTTTAAGACCTCCAAGAATAAGTAGATAATTTCTATTCTGTATTTTGTTAATGAAAGAAAACTAGGGTAATAACTGCTTGAATTTTCATCACTAGCATGTTTCCTACATACATAAACATAGTGAGTAGTGAGTATATTCACATATAAAGTAACAAAGAATTATAGTAAACCCCAACATCCAATCGGGAAAAATGTTGTAACTCTATATATTCATTAAATTGTTCACAAACTGACATCTTTTAGCATATAATATGGTTTCCTTTAGCTTGTTAAAGAGCATGGACTCATGACTAAAACATAAGAACACCCAATGAAGTTCAACTAAATCAATTCAACTATGAAAAATAAACTGACTAGTGATCATCTCTTTATTATTATTGAAAGAATAACTTACAAGTAAAAACATTCAATTTTTGAAAACAGCTTTATATTTATTGAATTTATGCATATAACGTTAGTTGCGTTTCAAAATAAAATGGCTGCCTTAAAAGTCATGCAAAATTACATATTTATACATTCTCTGAATTAAGCAGGATTAATTGAAAAGTGGTTATGAAGGCATGACTGCAAGCTACAAATTGAGCCTATTTTTAGTAACTTGCTCTAGCTGAGATGTTATATGTTCAGATTTGTTGACACGAAGCTTTATTGAGAAGCATTACTTATTCCCAATAACTCAAGGAGGAGCCTGTTTTGGGAGGAAAAACCACATCAAGTATGTTTTGTTGAATCAAGAGGATTTTATTTTTAGAAAACTACTAATGATTTTTTCTGAAAACGTGACTATTTTGAAATCTAAAAAAATCAAATATTTGATACTTAACATAATTTGCAACTTGACATAAAACTACTCAGTTTAGTTGGTCATAATATACTCATTCCTAACTTATTCCACTTTACAAAAAAAGTAAAAGAAAAGCATAAATAAATAAGTAAGGAAAGAGAAACAAACAAACAAAAAACATTGGAAACGGACTAGGTAAAAATTTATAGAATCAAGGATTAATTTCCACCAATTATGGCATGAATAAAACCAATCAACTAAAATATATTTTAAAAATCAAGAAGACAGTAGGAAAACAGCCTCTGAGGACCCCTGGAACAGTAATTAGGTGGGCACTCTGTTGGACATTACCATTTTCTTTAATGTTTGTATGAAACGACGCCAATTTATCTTTAAACAATTTATCTTTAAGTTGCTAAGGTGATGCAAACAGCTGTCATGTAACAATCACCAAGAGAGGACCCATTCTAGTTCACAAACTGCCCTGATGCTTTTTATAAAAAACAATCCACTTCAGGATAATGTGTTGTTCCTGGTTTCTATGTCTCTTTAACTTCTTTAAATCAGAAGCATTCCATAGTCCTTCTTCACCCTTCATAGCATCCTAAACATTTTTTGAAGGTAATATTCCAATGGATTCTATTTTTAGAATGTCTCCCAATTTCGATTTGTCTGGTGTTTTCTCATAATGAGGTGTCAAGACATGCATTATTGGCAATAAAATCACCAACATGGTGCTATGCTCTTCTTATCATATTTCTTCAGGTTATATATGAAATTAATTTTTCCCATCAGTGGTGATTTTAATTTTGATCATTTGAAAGGTAATGTCTTCCAGATTTCTCTATTGCAGAGGTACTCCTCATTTTCTTTATATTAATATAACATGACATGAAATGATATTTTATATATAGACTATCTATTGTATACATGTATATATACATGTAATTAATCTAAAATTAAGTGTTTTGTGGAGAGATACATTTCTTCTCCAACATTTACCCACTAGGTTTAGCATCCATTGATGCCTCAACACTCAATCAAATTACAATGTGAAGATTTTCAAATGATAATTTTTTAACATACAATATCAACCCTTTTCCTTTTATTGGTTGGCACTCTGTGGGAAAATAATAGTGTTTCCTTCTTTTATTCATTCATTAATTCATGGGTTTATCTCACGTGGACCCATGGATTCCTATTTCTTTCAGTGGCCCATGATCTGTTCCTTTACTTATTTTATTGATTCAGTTTTGCTATTTTTGCTAGTAGGAACTATTCAAGTTTCTCAGCTCTTTTAACATGCCTTCCTTAGCATTTGAGCACTCCCTTATTTTCCTTGTTTTTTTTTTTAAATCTCAGATTATGAATGGTCATTGCAAATCTATCAAAATATAATGGATTTCTGTATATTATTATTATATCCTGTGATCTAGATAAACACACAATTTTACTAACTTTTTTGCAAATATCTTTTTTATTTTCTGCACAGAATATAATAATATCTGTGAAGAAAGACATTTTTCTTTCTAAATTGTATGTATTCTTACCTCTCTCAATGCATTGCTAAGACGTGTAGTATAAGCTTCAAAAGAATTTATCAGAGCAAGCATGCTTGTCTTTTTCTAGGTATCAGGGCAAAAATATTCAGTCACCTTAATGTTATTGGAAAGTTAAGGTACATAGTATAAACCTTAGAGCACCTAACAGGACAAAATAAACAAAAACATATGACTAATAATCTTATTAATTGAAATAAAATAAAATTCAAAATTAAACACTTAATCCAAGATAAAGCATCAAAAGTGGAAAATAGTAATAAAGAACAGATTAAATTTTATGGAAAATAAATTTTATGATAGTAGATTTAAGGCCAAAATATAGATAACAATATTAAATATAAGTAGTCTAAAACTACTATTTAAAGTAAGAATTTTAAGACTAAATTTAAAAAGTAATGTTAAATCAATATAAAGACAAAGATTGGTCAGAAAAAATAGGTTGAAGATAGCTGTACTTCACCATGATACAGTAAGAGGAACTAAACTAAATTCTTTACAAAACAAACAAACAAAAAACAAAAACACACACACACAAATAAAAACTAACTGCAGACAAAATATAATCAACAGTGATTTTTTAACCATTGACAAGAAGCTGAGGATGCTGATCCCTGACAAAAGAAAAAATAAAATCTGACTTATCCCAAGCTTTCTCTCAGTTTCCAGAAAACACAGTGAAAGGATAATCCAAAGAAAGGATAACTCTCCCTGTATATTGAGAAATTGAAGATTGGGGCTTAGAAAGGAAAATTTAGCTAGAATTGCAGAGGTAAATAGAAGAGAGAGAGCATTTGCACAGAGATGGTGATATGGTATGGCTTTGTCCCCACCCACATCTCATCTTGAATTCCCATGTGTTGTGGGAGGGACCAGGTGGGAGATAATTGAATCATGGTGGCAGGCCATCCCATCCTCATGATAGTGAATAAGTCCCACAAGATCTTATGGTTAAAGAAGAGGGAGTTTTTCTGAACAAGCTCTCTCTTTGCCTGCCGCCATCCATGTAAGATGTGACTTGCTCTTCCTGGCCATCTGCCATGATTGTGAGGTTTTCCCAGCCATGTGGAAACATAAGTCCATTAAACCTCTTTCTTTTGTAAATTTCCCAGGCTGGGGTATATCTTTATCAGTAGCATAAAAATGGATGAATACAGGAATATAGGAAGTGTCTGCTTTTTCCTGGCTTTTATCTTTGCCTGTAACATTCCACCCCAGAGACTCACATGGCTTCTCCTTTCTCTTCAAGTCTTGCTAATCATTCCTTGTTGATTCCTTAAAATCAACACATATAAATGTGTATCCCTTTCTTAAGCAAGAGATCCCTTTCATCCTTTACCTTTCTGTATTTGTTAGTAGAATTAACCATCTGCTAGTATACTATAAAATTTACTTATGTATTATATATATTATCTATTCTAGTGATATAATTTGGCTCCATTCCCACACAAAATCTCATCTTGAATTATAATCAGATTTATAATCCCCATGTGTTGGGGGAGGGATCTCCGGGAGGTGATTAGATCATGGGGTGGTTCTCCCATGTTGTTCTCGTGATAGTGAGTGAGTTCTCATGAGATTTGGTGGTTTTATAAAAAGCTTTTACCCCCTTCACTCTGCACTTTTCCTTCCTGCCACAATGTGCAGAAGGACATGGTTTGCTTCCCCTTCTGGCATGATTGTAAGTTTTCTGAGGCTTCCCCAGACCTGCAGAATTCTGAGTCAATTAAGCCTCTTTCCTTTATATATTAACCAGCATCTAGCAGCTCTTTATAGCAGTGTGAGAACGGACCAATACAACAAGTGAACAGGTATTTTTGCTTATTGTCCATTGTCAAAACCACTTATTTATTTTTACATTGACTATTGTCTATCTTCTATGGTTTGTTACCTCCAACAATAAGGTAATCAAGGGTCAAAATTTTTTGTTTATTCAGTAAAATGCTCTCAGTGAATTGGGCATTGGGTGGCACAGAGTATTTAATGTATCTATTAATTTTGTATATAAATGAATAAATTTTCTAAATTTTGCTAATAATGTTAATAGAAGACCCAAAAAGTATAATCAGTAAATTAGTTGTATTTTGAAGAAAAAAAAGTTAATCTATGTAACAAATTATTGTAAAAATTCTCAGGATATACACTTGAGTAATAATCACTGTAACATTTACCTATTTAAAAAGAATGAAATTTAACAGTGAAGGCACCTGAGTCTGGAATTTGTTTCCCCTAAGAAGGTATTAAATTAAAATTCAGTATCTTTAATAAATCTAAAGATATGAAGAAATTTTATTTATTCTAGAGTAATTGTAAAGATTATTTTGCTAACCATACAATTTATTCAACCATTATCAAATTTATTGGCATAAAGTTTTTATAATTTAAGTTATTATCATTTAGATATTTGTAGTATCTTTACAACACCCACCATCTTCCCAACCTTGCCCACTTTATTTCCTGAAAGTGCTTGCTGACAGATTTCTGTCTTTGTATCTTTCTCAGACTATCTAGAATTTAATTCAGTTTATTCCTTTTATCAAAGAATCCGTTTTAAATTTCATCTTTTCCTTTTGTATTTCTGTTATGTCTTTATAAAATTTTAGTTTTTCTCTATATTTTACTTTCTACTTCTTGTTTAATTTGGTTTTCTTTTCACTTTTTCAGGTAGACATTTGTGTCATTAATTTTAGACATTTCTCCTTTTTCTAATACAAACATTAAAAACTTCGTATTTCTCCAAAGGAATCCTGAAGTTGTAGTGTTTTTATTTTTATCCAGACCAAAATACTTTCTAATTTATCTTTTGATTTACTATTTGCTACAAGGCATCATTAGAAGTTTATTATATCTAAATATTTGGGGATTTCATTGTAGTTTTGGTTTTGTTTTTTATTTTAAATTTAATTCTATTGGGTCAGAGAACATACTCTCCATGATCTAATCCTGTTAAATTTGTTGAAACTTTATTATTTGTTACCTAACATGTGATGAATGTCAGTGCACTTGGAAAATAAAATAAGTTTTTGCTGGTGATGAATATAATATTCCATGCATCCTAGAACTTGTTAGGTTATAATGTCATTGAATTTGTAGATATTTTCTTTAAAATTTTTTATTTACTTGTTTAATAATATCAGAAAATAGTTTTCAAATCTTTAAATATATTGTGGATTTGTATATTTTTCTTCTCAATTCTGTAAGTTTTTGTCTTGAATATTTTAAATGCATAATTGTTTGTTAATGTGTGAAAAAACATTTTGCATTATCAGGTTCTCTTGATGAATTGGACCAATTATATTGATCTTTATCCTGCTAAAAATATTTCTTGATTTGTGGCCCATTTTGTCTGATATTAATAGAAGTCTTCAGTTTTTATATACTTAGTGTTTATACCATAGAAACACTGCCATCCTCTTACCTTAAAAGGGTCCAGAAATTTGAACTTTCATGTAAAATATTTTCAATATTAATTTATAATATTTTATAACATTACATAGTAATTTTGAAAAAATATTTGTTATTTATATAAAAAGCCTGCTGAGATTTGGACTGATATTGCAATTAATCTAGAAATCAATTTAGTAGAACTACCTTCTTAACACTATAAAGCATTCAAATTATTGAACTTGGTTTATCTCTCCATTTATTTAGGTCTGCCTTAATGTCTCTCAGCACTGTATTGCAGTTTTCTAAGTATCAAACAGAATGGTTCATAGTGGATATTTTTGCATTCTTTCTTATAGTAGGAGGAACCATTTGGTATTTCACTATATTAACTATTTTTATATATGTTTATTACTTTTGAAATAATTTGTTTCTCTTGCCTACTTTTCTGTAAGTCTTTATTATGAATATGTGTGAAATGTCATCAAATGCTTTTCTACTTTTAATAAAATAATCCTATACAAATTTTTTAAATCAAAATGTAGATCTGTAGTTTTCTGTTAATCTCTACCTATTTTTTTCCTTTAAGGGTAATCTGTACCTCATATAATGTACTGTTAGGGTTGCTTCCTCTTTTATTTCTGAAAGACTTTGCATAGAATTGTTACTATTTATTCTTTAAAGATTGTGAGAATACAAGAGTGAAACCTTCCTGACCTGGAATTATTTTGTATGTGAGTTTCAAATTATAGATTTAATGTATTTAATAGATGCAGGATTATTCATGGTGTCTCTTTATTTTTAAGTGAATTTTGTAACCTCTTTTCTCTCAAGTAATGTGTCCGTTTACCAAACTTTTAAAATGTATTTGCATAAAGTTTAAACATTGTGTGCTTACTATCATTTTATAACCTGTAGTATAATTAGTGACAGTCTTTCATTACTGGCTTTAGTATTTAGTATTTTTTCTCTTTTTTGTTGAGTATAGCTAGAATTTTTTCATTTTTTAATAAATGAGCTTTTTATTTTATTGATATTCCATTTTGGTGTTCTTTCAATTTTTATTGATTTTTGTTCTTATATGTATTTTATTATTTCTTTGTACCTTAGTACATTTTGACTGCAATAGAAAAATACCTTTTTGTTGTGGCTTATAAACAACATAATTTTATAATTTATAATAATATAAACTTATAACTTATAAATTTACTTCTCATAGATCTGGAGGCTGAGAGGTCTGAAATCAAGGCTCTCAAAGATTTGATGTCTGATGAGGGCCCATTTCCTGGTTCATAGATGGTTCCTTCTCTCTGCATCTTCACATAATGGAAAGAGCAAGGTAGCTCTCTGGGGTCTCTTATGTAAGAAAACTACTCATTTACTATCCTTAATGTAGTACTAATTTAGTACCCTTATAAAAGAGCCCCAGATCTCTACTTTCATGACCTAAGCCCCTCCCAAAAGACCCCATCTCCTAATAACATAAGTTTGGGAGTTAGGATTTCTACATAGGAAATTCGAGGAGACACAAACATTCAGACAACAGCATTCTGTTTTGTTTGGGTTTAATTTGCTTTAGGAACTGATTAGATTCTTTTTTCTTTTCTAACATAAACACATGGCACTATTACATTTATCTAATTCTTTATTTCTAAAAAATTTTTAATTATTATGGATACATAATAGTTGCACATATGTATGGGATACATATGCATACAAGCATATGACATACAATTATCAAATCAGGATTCTGATATTCATCACCTTAACTTGTATAGTTTCTTTGTGTTAATATTGTTTAGTTATCTTAATAAATTGACCCCTTTATAATCAGTGAGTATATTTTCTATCACTGGTCATATATTTCGTTCTGAAATATATTTAGTTTGACATTAATATAGTAACTCTAGTTTTCTATAAATTTTTGTTTGTACTACACACACAGATATCTATGTATTTATATTTACAGTAGAATTTTAGTAGACAGAATTAGATTTCTGATTTTTCATTGATGTGTATGAATGATTTACATGTAATGTAATGTGATTATGAATAAGCTTAGGTTTAAATATACCTTCTTGCTATGTTTTCTATTTATCTTATATGCTCCTTGTTCAATTTTTTATCCTTTTTTTACATTTTGTAGATTAGTTAAATATGTACTTCATTATTTTATGTTATTTCTACTATTGGTTTACTAATGTACTTTTTTTTAGGTTCTGCTTTAAGGTTTAAAATATAAATACTTCTGTTTTAAGGTTTAAAATATAAATACTTCTACTTTAAGTTTTAAAATATAAATACTTAACTCATCACAGCCTACTTTCAAATAACAGTATATCACTTGATATGCAGTATAATACATTGCCAGTTTTTTTCTGCAGACACACATATACTTCTCATAAAATTTTACTTCTGCCTTAGGACTCTTTCTTATAAATGACAATGGAGGGTGGCTGACAATGAAATTCTTTAGATTTTGTTCAGTGCTGAGACAACGTTGAGATGAGCAAATTACCTCTGGTGAAAAACTTAATGAGGAACTCTCTCGGGTCACACAAGGCACAAGTCTTGCACTCTCAATCTCAAATATATAACTCTGAAAGTGAGTAGCTCTTTAGGTTTTGGGACCTAGTTGTGTCATTTACTTTACCCTAGTTCCAAACCTATTTTTAATTTTCTAAAAATAAACGAGCCCTATTTTACTTTAGTGCTTAAAATTTTCTACTTGTTATAAAAATGTAGATAAAGCTGTTTTTTATTATTTAATTATTTATGATTGCTCCATTGTCTCCAAGTTTTCATAGTTTCTGAAGAAAATTGCCCGTATTTGTGTGTGTGTGTGTGTGTGTATTTCTTTTGATGTGGATTATTTTGTCATCTCTGATGCCTTTTAAGATTTTTCTCTTTATCACTGATTTTCAGAAATTAGACAATAGTTTACCTTGCCATTTTGTCTTTATTTGTGATTCTAATAACATTTTGGCAATCATTTCTTCGTATTTTTGGTTTTGTTCTTCCCTACCACATACTCACACACAGACATCCACTCAGTGTTCTTCTGGGACTCCATCTCTTCTTGTATTATGCTGCTTGATATTGTCCAACACAGTGTGGTTGTTTTTTCAAATGTGTCTATGTTTTCTGTTTTGGATAGTTTATATTGTTATGTTATCAAAATCACTGGTATTTTTTCTACAATGGTTAAAGTGCTGTTAAATTTATTCATACATTTTTAATCTAATATACTTATTTTTTCTGTTTTAGGAGTCTGCTTGTTTTTATTTCTTCCATTTTTATTTTCTCATAATATACATATTTTCCCATCTTATTTGAAAAAATAAAGCATATTTTTAACAACTGAATTAACATGTTTCAACACTAATTATTATGTTCATCAAAACCAGATATTGTGAATTCTATATTGTTATGTGATGGATTTTGTTGAATTCCTTTTGTATATTTGTATTTTGTTCTCAAACACAGTTAAATTATTTGGAATCAGTTTGATGCTTTTAGAGATTGCTATAAAATTTTCTTAGAGAAGATGTAGAGTTGCTTTAGGTTTAGGAATGAGTGAGTTCCATCACAAAAGCAGGATTCTTCCAAAGATTCTACCTAATAGCTCATATATTACCCTGTCTTCTACTTTGGTTTGTGGCAACAATAATATTTGCAGAGCTTTCTTGAGCTTTGAGAATTGTTCTTCAAACCCTTTGTGTTGGCATTTTACCCCAGGCTTCTGTTATTTTCTCTCATGTATTCACAGTTTAGTATTCAATGAAGGACTCAATAATTTCCTAGGAAGGTCTGCAGACACACGGTCATCTGTATTCATTAGCATGGGCTGCTATAACAAAATGCCATAGACTGAGAAGCTTATAAACCACAGAGATGTATTTCTCAGTCTAACCTCACATGGTGGAAGAGGGAGGGGTCTCTCTGGCACCTTTCATAAGGGCTCCACTCCCATGATCCAGTCACCTACCAAATTGCCCATTTTTTAATATTATCACCTTGGTGGTGAGAATTTTAATATACAAATTTGGGGAGGTCAATTAGACCAGAGCATAATTCTTGGCAGATAAAAGAAGCCATAAGAAAGCTGGTGTGATAAGACCAGAATGAGCCAGAGGGAAGTTTTAAGGTACAATAAAATATTAGGCTAGACTATTAAAGTACTTTGTCATTAGAAATTACATCTTTCAGATGAAATCTACCCAATCCTTGCTTGTACATCTTGCTAAAGTTTTAACTTTTCCATTGATTTCATTATATTTGTCATGTCTTTCCTATGAATTTAATTTTCAATTATCTTCACTTCTTATACATACTGCTATATATTATTTAATCATTCTGCCTTAAATTATTTTGTGTACAGTTATAATACTTCAGCCTAGTTTACTAGGAACTCATTACAGTTGTTCCCCTGTATTTGTGGGGTACTGGTTCTAGGAACCCTCAGACACAAAAATCTACAGATGCTCAAGACCCTTCCATAAAATGATGTATAATAGTATTTTATACACCTACATCCACACTGTCACATACTTTAAATCATCTCTAGATTTCTTATGATACCAAGTACAATGTAAATGTTATGTAGGTAGTTATAGTGTGTTCTTTAGGGGATAATGACAAGGCAGAATTCCATATGTGTTCACTTTTTCATAAATGTTTTTCCAAATATTTTTGATCCATGGGTGGTTGAATCCACACATGCAGAACCTATGGATATGGAGGGTCCACTGTACTTTTTTCTATCCTCCTAACTACATATTGGTTTCTATTTTTGTCTTTATTAAATCTTAAATTGTAGTCATACTACAAATTCAATCTTTTCTATTGTTTCATTTTTTTCTATTTCTTGAACAGTATTCTGTTTCTGTTTCAATGCATTAGTATCCACTTATTTATGTTTACCAAAATATTACACAGTCAAATAATTCAGGAAGACTTTGAAAATTTAAAGTCAACAGATTTGTATTAGCCTCAGTTATATCATCTGTAATAAATCAGATTATCCTGTCATTAGGATTAAATATTAAAATCTATTTAAGACATCTTAAAGAATATTTGAGATATTATGTATACTTAATATGGATATTTGTTTTCTTCCCTTCATTTTCTGACTTATTTTAGCCTTTTCATTTGTATTGTTTTATGTACCTTACAGTTACATAAACTCCTTAGTATCTGGAAACTTGTCTTCTTATTTTAATGTGCCATTCATCTCCTTAGCACAATTTCTTACACATATATGTTCTACAAATGTTTATTAAATGAATTAGTGTCAACTACATGCATGCTTTATTCATTAAGCTGTCAAAGGATTGATCTGCTTTACAGCTTTGTCAAACTATAGAACTTTAATTCTTTTGCCATACTTTAAAAATAATACATGTTTAGGTAATAATAAAATCAATATTCATACTCATAAAATAACAGATTGTAAAAGCATTGTAGGCTAACCACATACATTTTGGAAAAGAAACTGAAATTAATTCTTAAATTCTTTCAAATTCTTCATCTTATTTACTATTTTTGTAAAGTAAATGTTTATCTTGTATTTTAGTTTTAAGCTCTTAGAATCTTCAACAATATAGTTTTTTGTACATAAAATATTTAAATCAACTTAATCTATGTACATGTTATAAACTAAGTTCAAGTAAAATTACATAAAATGCAACAATGCATTTTATTTTTCTATTCATATTTTTCTAATAAATCTTGTAAGTTTAAGTAATTATTTTAGTTAACGCTATGAAATTCTACCTAGGCAGGTTAGGTGTTAATTTCCCAATTTGTATGCAAACTGAACAATTTTCTCTGCGCTCTTCATCATTTCATCTTTCCACTTAACTTTCTCTATTTTAACCAAATAATATTTATTGTATTTTGCCCCATTTAAACTAATGAATAAAAATTTCCCTCAGTGTAAACTCTATGTTGATGTTTCAAATAGAATATTTTATTCCCTGTGTGTTTTGAGTAGTAGCACCTTTAATGTTTTATCTATTTATATTTGTACAAGGCATATTACACATCTGAAATGAACACAGTACTAATTAGCATAAAGTCAATGTTAGCCTTAGACTTTACAGGTAAGTCTACAGAATACAGAAAGAAAAAATATAATGTCATATGTACTTCTTAAACAGTTGTATCAGTGGAAAAACTGATGATGCATTCATGTTTTCCTCAATATTTAGTGAGGAGAGCAAAAATGAGTAATAAGAAGGCAAGAAAAAATATCCACTGCATGACTGTAACAGGCACTAGATGATGAGGTCATAGAATGTATTCATCTTTATTTATTCAGAAATTAGCTCCATACCTAGCACATAAACACTCCCATCTCAGGTCTCAGTTCGCTTGTGCTTCTGTAACAAAATAGCTGAGACTGATAAGAACAGAAACTTGTTTCTCACAGTCCAGGAGGCTGAAAAGTTCAAAACCATGGTTCTGGCAGGTTTGGCACCAAGTGAGGTCCCAGTTTCTGCTTCTAAAATGGTAACTTGAATGCTGTGTCCTTACATTAGCTAGTTCCCTTCAGCCCTTTTGTAATGCACTAATCCCATCTATGAGTACAGAGTCGTCATGGCCTAATTACTCCTAAAGGCCTGACTTCTTAATACTATTGCATTGAGGATTAAGTTTCAAAATGGCTTTTAGAGGGGAGACAAACATTTAAGCTAAAGTATAATAATCCATAATTTTTGAATGAATGAACAAAAAGTCACTTGCATTTAAATGTGAAAAGGTAGATACTTTCGGTGTCAGTTATTTTCTGTACAATTGTGATTATTCCTCATAAAATTTCAGAGCAATCAGTTGGCTTTCAATTAAATTTACACATTAGTTATAAACATTTTAAATGTTAACTCTGTTTCTACCCTTCATGATATTTAATATGTATATTAATTTTACAAGAATTACTTAAATATTTTTCTTCCAATTTTCTAATTCTCTTTCCCTTGTTGAAATGAGCAAACACACAAAATATCAAGTGACAGATAATGCATTGCTAATGTCTTACTTTGGTAGGATATTTTCATTAGTATTTTAAATAGAACTGAGATTTTTATTTTTATATATTTTTTAACCAAACCTGACTCATATTATAGATGATCTAAAGTATTAATGTAATACAAAACCATTGTATTTCTTGGCACAAAGAAAAAGCGTGGGTCATGTCAAACACCTGCAATGACAGTAAAATCATGTCACAAATAAGCTAATTATGTTGAAAAATGATTATGCACACACTATGTAAAGCATTGTCCTTTTCCTTTGTTGGAGGGCATTTATTCATAGACATCATGTATACTTTCTTCCCAAAGGGTAAGGTTGACCTAGAACCCTATGGACGACCCTTTATAGTTAAGCTTGCCAACTACTTGTCAGAAATGATTAGTGAGAAATGTAGGAAAGAAAATTTCCCCTGTTGATGACAGGGGGCAAATAGAAGATGCCCTGAAGTTGTCATAAGGAATCACATTTTTTTCAATAAGAGTATTTTTTATTTGATAATATCTAATATCACAGATCAACCTTTATTTATACATATTCTAGACATGTGTTGAACTTGACAGGTTTTGGTAATAGAAAATTCTGTGGCAACTCACAAAAGAGTATGTGTGCATTGTAATCATTTTTATTATAAATAATAACTGTGTCTTTTTTTGATAAAATGAAGATATAATAAATCATGATTTCCCCTCAATCATATCTTTTAGAAACTGAGTTTATGTGTCTTTGGATTTATAATAATCCCAAACTCACATTTTATGTTAAAATACTCATTAAAATGCAATAATTTATTACAACTTTATTTTGGATTATATTCTGAATGTCTTACAACATGAAAGCTAAAGAGTGCTATACATTTTTTGAAACAGATTTATGTAAGCCTCACAGTCTGTATTATGAAATTATTAATGTTAGAGTAACATTTTGATCTACTAGATTCATAAAATTAATGAGAATTCTTCAGCTATTATTTTGAATCCTCTCCTTATATCTCTTAATAATACAGATAACACAGATTTGAGCTACAGGAAAATGTAATATGCATTGTGTTTGAACAAAGTGTGTTATAATTTTGGATGTACATCAACCTATACTGTATCCCTATGTTGTGTAAGACTGAATATCCTAGATCATATTGGATTATTACAGTCAATAATATTTTACATTAAACATCAAAAAATAATATGGCATTCATTTACAACCCAGAAAAATGAGTAACTCCCAGGAGAAATTTAGTTTTCATTGCTCCTTATGCTAACAACTTTAAAGTTCAAATGCTAACTTTCTATCTCCATTTTATTTAGAATGTATAATAAATCTTTCATGAAAAAAGATGAATTTCTTTTTTTTTTTTTTTTTTTTTTTTGAGATGGAGTGTCTCTCTGTCGCCCAGGCTGGAGTCCTGTGGCGCGATCTCGGCTCACTGCAAGCTCCACCTTGTGGGTTCACACCATTCTCCTGCCTCAGCCTCCCGAGCAGCTGGGACTACAGGCACCGGACACCACGCCCGGCTAATTTTTTTTGTATTTTTAGTAGAGGCGGGGTTTCACCGTGTTAGCCAGGATAGTCTCAATTTCCTGACCTCGTGATCTGCCCGCCTTGGCCTCCCAAAGTGCTGGGATTATAGGCGTGAGCCACCACGCCCGGCCTCTATTTTTGAAAGTTACCTTTTGTCATTTTTTTATCTGCAGTAGTGTGGATTAGAAACCTGGCTCAGTCCTACCACTAAAATAATTCTTAAAAGTTGGATGAAACATTAAAAAAATCTTGCTTTAGTGTCACAATGATCAGGCAAGAAGACAATAATTTTATGAAAATTAAGGTTTTACCTTGAGAGCATTCTCTGGTCTTGATAAGGATGAGGCCATGTTTCTTGGGACTGTAAAAAGCAGGGGACCAGAGACAAAGTTCAAAGTCCAGCCAAATTGGAAGTGTAGTAAGAGAACACTCTTACACTATTGGTGGGAGTGTAAATTAGTTCAACCATTGTGGAAGACAGTATGGTGATTCCTCAAGGATCTAGAACTAGAAATACCATTTGAGCCAGCAATCTTATTACTGGGTATATACTCAAAGGATTATAAATTATTCTACTCTAAAGACACAGGCACACGTATGTTTATTGCAGCACTATTTACAATAGCAAAGACTTGGAACCAACCCAAATGTCCATCAATGATAGACTGGATAAAGAAAATGTGGCACATATACACCATGGAATACTATGCAGCCATAAAAAAGGATGAGTTTGTGTCCTTTGCAGGGACATGGATGAAGCTGGAAGCCATCCCTCTCAGCAGACTAACACAGGAAAACCAAACACCACATGTTTTCATAAGTGGGAGTTGAACAATGAGAACACATGGTCATAGGGAGGGGATCATCAGGGAGGGGATCATCAGGGAGGGGCTGTAGGGGGCGGGGGCCTAGGGGAAGGATAACATTAGGAGAAATACCTAATGTAGGTGACGAGTTGAAGGGTGAAGCAAACCACCATGGCACATGTATACCTATGTAACAAAACTGCAGGTTCTGCACATGGACACAGGGAGAGGAACATTACACACCGGGACCTGTTGGGGGTGGAGGGCAAGGGGAGGGAGAGCATTAAGACAAATACCTGCATGTGGGGCTTAAAACCTAGATGACGGGTTGATAGGTGCAGCAAACAACCATGGCACATGTATACCTATGTAACAAACCTGTACGTTCTGCACATGTATTCCAGGACGTAAAGTGAAATATAAAAAAAAAAAAAGAATGCCCTTTTCTGGGGTTCTCACTAATATGACCTGTGTAACTTGAAAATCCTCAAGACAGAAATTTAAAGTGATCTCATTCTGTTTATAACCCTGGGCCCTTGGTACAAACAAATTTATATAATCCTTTTGGGAAACCTATTTCAATTCTATCCTAAAATTATTTGCATAAATATACTTCTATTAGTTAGGAATTGACAGTAAAACAAAACAAAACACACAGAGAAAGATGGTGCATGAAAAGAATATAGGAGGAAAACAGGGAGATAAAAGAATCACATGAAGAAAGACTCCAGATACTGGAATTATAAGAATGTATAACAAACAAGTTTGAATTAAGTAAGAATTAAAATGAATGATTTAAAAGTTTAATTCAAACAACGGTAAACACACAACTGACACATTCATAATATGTTAGAGATAGCTAAAGTGAGAATAACCACATAACGTAAAACATAGTTAAATTCACTTTGACTATTAAGAGATGTATAAAAATGAACAATAAAGAGAAAGGATTCAGTGATATGAAAGACAGAATGAAAATGACTATCATATATTAAACTGGAGTCTAATATATTCATTAGTGAGATTTACTGACATCCCTAATGAAAGACATCAAATTCTCAGATTCAGGAGAAATAAGACATTACACTCAAGATACATAAGATGAATCATTCCTCGGCACACCTAAGTTTTCATCATAAACTGTACCTTCAATCATCTTCATTCTTCCTGACCTGATCTATTTTTCTCATCGTATTTACCACCTTCAAACATATGGTACACATCCTAGTTACTTTGGGTATCTTATATTACAATATAATCTCAAAACAGATTTTGTTGATTTTATTTACAAGATGTAACCAAAGGGCCTAGATTATCTTTATAGCATAGTATATGTTCAAAATTTATTACCAAATAAATATAAAGTACATTTATGAAAGGTGAAGGAGAATATAAAACAGAGGGAAGATCTTCAGAACTACCACAACAAAATGACACATAACTTAAATGTCAAAATACCAACACTGACTTCTTATCAACAGCAATAAAAAGTAGGAAAAAATTTGGAAAATATCCTCAATGAGTTTAGACACACTTCTATACATTAGAGGTTTATAAAACACAAAAACTCCTTTTATAAATGAGTCAAAATAATGACATTTTAGACAAAGAATAACAGAAAATTTATCATCCAAAAGCACCTTCCAAAGAAACGTCAAAAGACAAATTTCAAACAAAGGAAAATGATCACAGATAAAAGATTTGGGATAAAATAAATAATAATGAGAAAAATAGAATATATATGGGAGGTATAAAAAAGAAAATAAAATTTACTTCAATACAAAATTGAAATGTGTAAAGATGTTTTGGTGGGGGTCTCCATTGCTCTTCAGCTTTGATTATTTATTTAAAAAACTCTCAGAACTCAGAGAAGCAATTATACTCATGTTTACAGTTTATTAAAACAAAAGGATGCAGAGTCGTATCAACAAAGGAAAAAGATTCTCAGGGCAAAGTCCAGGAGACTCCAGGCACAAACTTACAAGTGTCCATCACAGCAGAATCACATGCAGATACACTTCAGTCTCCCAGTAAAGCTGCATACAACCACATGTGAATTCTTGGCAATTAGAGCAGCTTATTTATTCTTTGATGTCCCAGGTTTTTATTGGTGGTTAATCACATAGGCATGCAATGCCCAAGTGGCAAAACTTGGCAAATTCAGCTTCCTTTCCATGATCCCTCTAGAACAAAACCAGGCATTCAGCATAAATCATATCTTAGAATAAACGTATCTGGTTAAATTGATACCACATGGTTCAAATAAATACAGCATGGCTCAGGGCCTCAGGCATATAAGTCAGTCATTCACCATAAACCCAAGGCCTCAGATATACAAAAACACTCTTCACGGTAAGACTATTTCCAGAACTCAGAGGCTAGCTAGTCCTAAAAACAAACCTTACCTTTGAATGTGCAGGGTTGAAAAAACCCTGGGCTGCTGAGTTAACACATTCTTGCCTAATCCATATTTATTGTCCCTGGTCTAATCTCTCCTGTAGCAAAACAATCATATTTTTCTGAGCATCTACATTGAATATGGCATTTATATGACAGTAACAACAGTAATATTAACATGAATATGCCTAGCATTTTATGGACACAGTGTAGGGTAAAGATTGATTTTTAAAAATTACTAATGCATCCTACAAGCCCATTACATACACTTTAATATTTTGTACAAACAAAATTATTCATTCCTCCTCTCAATCTGCTTTTATTTTTACTTTTTGATAAATCTGTGCAGAACTATTTAGCATTGAAATTAGATAATGGTTAGCTGAATTCTGTTTTCTCAGGCCATTTATTATTCACCCAGATTACATTCTGAAGAGGCTTTAACTCAATATCTTAATACATTTGATTATCAATATAAGCATTATATAACTTCTCTACATAAGATAGTTGAATCTTACCAACAATGCTAGTGTAATGTCATATTGCAGTATGATCATGTTACAATTCAGTTTTATTACAGAAAAAGTTATTACGAATGATAGAGCTATTTGTTACAGCTACTCAACATAATTGGTTCTTGTCTTTATACCGTATAGTATTATAAATAAGTGTTATTACTACTCACCATGATTTGATTATTTCTGGGTTTCTAATGGGTTGTGGACTTAGCCAGTCACCCTGTCTTAGTTCACAGGCCCTAATTGACAATGGTCTCTACTATATGCTGTCTTACACCAGGATACACTCCCTTCCTATAGACAAGACACAAGAATAAGAATAGTTTATATCTCTGCTACCTGTACTACAGGATGTCTTATCCTTATCTATTCTTGGGGCAATGGCAATAACAATGAATTAATATAAATTATGAGTGACCTCAGAGATGGGGTCCCTAAGATTATATAAATGTGTCCTTCTGCATCTAAGAAGAACCATTACCCTATGGTTATTTAGGCCTCCATCTGTGTTAAAGTGATAAAGTGATGCTATTGAGTCATAATACAAACTCATTACCAGTGTTGGGTCCTAGCATTATCCATCATTAATTGTTGAGTCTACCTTACCAAGTTCACTAAAACTTCATTACTTTTTCCAGGTTGAATCCCATCCCTTCCTCTCTCATAGGTGAGAATTCCCTCTAATCTATTTATTTTAGTTAATAAATCTTCTTTCCTTAAAAGCCATTCATGATTAAAAATGAATTCAGCTTTTCTCACAATGCCTAGATCAGCATCTATCTCCCTGAAGGTTTTTTTCTGTTTGTAGGCCAATGCTTAACCCAAGAGGGTTGTTGTCATTGTATACTAGATTTAACTGGAATGAGGAACCATGTTTTACACTCCAGACTGTTTGGTTCTCAGTATGAGGATAAAAATAAGAAAAAACAAAACAACAAACAAACAACAACAAAAAACAAGAGTTCTCTACAATTTTCGAGAAACAGAAGAGGAAGAAATGCTTCTCAATTCATTTTATGAAGCAAGCATGACACTTAAACAGAAGAAGACAAAGATGATAAAAAAAAAGAAAAGGAAAACAAACAAACAAAACTTTAGACCAACATAACCTAGATGCAAATCTACAAATATACCCTAGATGCAAAATCCTCGACAACTTGAATACGACACTATGTAAAAAAGTGACACATGACCAAGCCATGTTTATTCCAGAAATGCAAGACAGTTGCAATATTTTAAAAAATCTAATAATATAGTTCATCATATTAATATTCTAAAATAGGAGAATGCATGATCAGTTCAATAAATGCAGGGGAAAAAGACACTATTCAACAGTTACTTGTGATAAAAATTCAGCAAACCAGAAATAGCAGAAAATTCCTTCATCTTGATAAAGAGCATACAAAAAATCCATCATATTTAGCTGTGAAACACTGAATGTTTTCCACATGTATGCTCAGGAATAAAGCAAAGATGTTTGCTTTTATCACTCTTTTTCAACATAATACTTAGAGTTCTATCCAGTGTGTAAGGAAAAAAAGGAAGAATAAAATAAATGCAGACTGGAAAGAAATAAGTAAAACTGTTCCTATTTGTAAATAATATGATTACATATGTAGAAATTTATACAGCATTTAGGAGAGAGAAGGAATGTAGAAAAGGGAGAGGAAGGGGGAGGCAAAAACAAAGGGGAAGGAGAAAGTAAAAGAACAGTGGAAGGAGAAGCAGTGTCTCCTAAAATTAAGAAGGATTTAGCAAGATTAGGACAAAAGGTAAAAACAGGTTTCCTGATATTTTTAATTGCATTTCAATAGCTTTCCAAACATAAATATTTCTCAGGTAGTTGAATGCTTTGGTCAATTTCGAGAATGATGGAAGGCTGCTTTAATGAATTTCTAGTGGCCTTTTGTGCAGAGGATTTGCTGGTCTTTTCAAGTGACCATAGTCCACATTGATGGGTTGATTGAATATGGAAACCATCTTGAACTCCCAAGATAAACGCCAATTAGTAATGATATATTTTACAAACACACGTGCATGCACACACACACACACACAGACATGAGAGGATTTAATTGGATAATATTTTGCTGAAGTTTTTGAAATCTAAATTCATCATCAAAATACATATTTGTCTACAGGACATTTTCTTGTAATGTCTGTTTTATGGTTTTGGTATGGGGATAACGGTAGACTCATAAAACATGTTGAAAAGTGTTTCCTCTTATTATTTTGAAATACGTCCCATCAATACCTAATTTATTGAGAGTTTTTAGCATGAAGGGTTGTTGAATTTTGTCAAAGGCTTTTTCTGCATCTATTGAGATAATCATGTGGTTTTTGTCTTTGGCTCTGTTTATATGCTGGATTACATTTATTGCTTTGTGTATATTGAACCAGCCTTGCATCCCAGGGATGAAGCCCACTTGATCATGGTGAATAAGCTTTCTGATGTGCTGCTGGATTCGTTTTGCCAGTATTTTATTGAGGATTTTTGCATCAATGTTCATCAAGGATATTGGTCTAAAATTCTCTTTTTTTGTTGGGTCTCTGCCCAGCTTTGGTATCAGAATGATGCTGGCCTCATAAAAAGAGTTAGGGAGGATTCCCTCTTTTTCTATTGATTGGAATAGTTTCAGAAGGAATGGTACCAGTTCCTCCTTGTACCAAATGCTCATCATCACTGGCCATCAGAGAAATGCAAATCAAAACCACAATGAGATACCATCTCACACCAGTTAGAATGGCGATCATTAAAAAGTCAGGAAACAACAGGTGCTGGAGAGGATGTGGAGAAATAGGAACACTTTTACACTGTTGGTGGGACTGTAAACTAGTTCAACCATTGTGGAAGTCAGTGTGGCGATTCCTCAGGGATCTAGAACTGGAAATGCCATTTGACCCAGCCATCCCATTACTGGGTATATACCCAAAGGACTATAAATCATGCTGCTATAAAGACACATGCACATGTATGTTTATTGCGGCATTATTCACAATAGCAAAGACTTGGAACCAACCCAAATGTCCAACAATGATAGACTGGATTAAGAAAATGTGACACATATACACCATGGAATACTATGCAGCCATAAAAAATGATGAGTTCATGTCCTTTGTAGGAACATGGATGAAATTAGAAATCATCATTCTCAGTAAACTATCGCAAGAACAAAAAACCAAACACCGCATATTCTCACTCATAGGTGGGAATTGAACAATGAGATCACATGGACACAGGAAGGGGAATATCACACTCTGGGGACTGTTGTGGGGTGGGGGGAGTGGGGAGGGATAGCATTGGGAGATAAACCTAATTCTAGATGACGAGTTAGTGGGTGCAGCGCACCAGCATGGCACATGTATACATATGTAACTAACCTGCACAATGTGCACATGTACCCTAAAACTTAAAGTATAATAAAAAAAAAAGTACAAAGCAACCTCTTATTAAAAAAAAAAAAGAAAAGTGTTTCCTCTTTTTTATTTCTTAAACTTTTGTGTAATGTATAAATTATATCTCCTTAAATATTAGTAAAATTTGTCAGTTCGTTTATCTAGGTGGGTATTAATAAATTTAAAACAGATATATAGGGATGTGCATTTTATTGCTTTCTTTTTGAGTTTGCCTTAGTTTGTATCTTTTGAGGGATTTATACACTTAATCTAAATTAACTAATTTACATTTATAAATTTCATCATGGTATTCATTTAGTTATCCTTAAACTGTTGTAGGACAATGGAAATGTTACTTCTATCATTCTTTTTTTGTTGTTTATTTGTTTTGAGACAGAGTCCCGTTCTGTCGCCCGGGCTTGAGTGCAGTGGCCTCATCTCTACTCACTGCAAATTCCACCTCCCAGCTTCAAGCAATTCTTGTGCCTCAGCCTCCCGAGTAGCTGGGAATACAGGCAGGCGCCATCACGCTCAGCTAATTTTTGTATTTTTAGTAGAGACAGGGCTTCACTATGTTGGCCAGGCTGGTCTGGAACTCCTGACCTCAAACGATCCGCCTGCCTCGGCCTCCCAAAGTGCTGGGATCACAGGCATGAGCCACCAACCCCAGCCACTTCTGTCATTCTTAAAATTTGTAAATTATTTATTTCCTATTATTTTCTCCATAGTCTGGCCAGAGATTTAACAATTTTATTGATCCCTTCAAAGATCTAAATTTAGTTTAATTTACTTAGCTATATAATTTTTCTCCATTTAATGTTGTTTATTTCTTCATTAACCTTTATTATTTTCTTCTTTCTGATTGCTTCAGAATTAATTTGTTCTCATTTTTATAATAACAAGTTGGAAGCTTTCATCATAATTTCAAGGTAATTTTTCTTTTCTAATGCAAGCTCTTAATGGGATAGATTTTTCCCTAAACACAGAAATTTCCACATTTTGATATGTTATACTTTTTCAAATTTCTCTTACTTTTGGTTAGGTTCATGTTTAAATATACATATGTGCAAGAATATTTTCCCTTGATTTATATGGATTTAGAGGTTAAAAAAAGGCAAAAAAAATATTTTGGAAATTTCTAGGAGACTTAGTTCACCATAATTGTTACATAATTGTGCATATGTTGCAAGTAATGTATTGAGAAAAGTATTTATATCTGTATACATGTTTGGTCCTTAATGATGAAATTAATGCACAGTTGTCTAACTGTAATAATTTCCTTATAATCACACTAGTTTTCCTTTGGTGCCACAAGATGATGAATCTCACTTTAGTGTGACCAAGCAAAATGAGGTACAAAAACAGTCCAATCAATGTGAAAATATCTCAAATTCACATGAATTTTAAAAATATTTTATATGTAAATTAAATTAGAAATTAAATATATATAATATATTTTATTTCAGAAATATTTGCTTGCCTTTTGGAACTCAAAGTTCAAAACCTTCTATTGTCATCTTTAAATAACTAATTTTTAAGTTAATTTCTACTTGGTTCTATGAAAATACTACCACACAATGTGGAGATAAAGAAAACATTTACAGAAAAATTGTCCATATGGACACATTTTAAACAGATGATCTAATTAGCATAATAGCCACCAAACTGGTAAATAAACAGTTTTGTTGATTTGCTGCTTAATCAGCATCTATTCAGAATTCTGTAATATTGTTTAGTAAAACAGTTTATTTCCATCCATAAATGTATTTTATAAATTTATGCCCAGTAAACTTCCAGGTAAACCATCGAAATATTAACTGTTTTCTACAAGTGGTGGTCTTTTTTTTTAAGCTGGTTTCTATAATGAATTGATGAGAGTGAATGAAGATTAAAATGCTTATTCTGTAATAAAAGCCAATGCCAGCATGCCGATATATAATCTCTATAGATCAAAAAATATTCGGCCGGGCGCGGTGGCTCACGCCTGTAATCCCAGCACTTTGGGAGGCAGAGGCGGGCGGATCATGAGGTCAGGAGATCGAGACCATCCTGGCTAACGCGGTGAAACCCCGCCTCTACTAAAAATACAAAAAATTAGCCGGGCGTGGTGGCGGGCGCCTGTGGTCCCGGCTACTCGGGAGGCTGAGGCAGGAGAATGGCGTGAACCCGGGAGGCGGAGCTTGCAGTGAGCTGAGGTCGCGCCACTGCACCCCAGCCTGGGCGACAGAGCGAGACTCCGTCTCAAAAAAAAAAAAAAAAAAAAATTCATGCCTTATTCTCAGATTTTTAATAGTGGCTCTAAGCAGTCTTAAAAATTTATTATTTAGACACCTTATCCTATATTTTAAAAATATTTTCTTAGTATACTGTGGATGTTATACAAGTCATGTAATGGATAGAGAATTTCTTACATAAATTTACAATAAAATTTTTTAAATAAAACTTTTGTGAAATTATTTTCAAATGTTATAAATGTTAATGAGTTTTGTTATATTGGTTCCAATATTTCTCACATATGGAAAATGTCATTTTCCCTGGGAATTAATATTTGGAACTGGTGTTTAAGAAAAACCATGTTTGATGTTGGAAAATGCTATGTCCGGTATAACTATAGATGTTTGGAAAGCAGCTCAGTTATGCTAAAGATAAAGAAAGGAGAGAAAAATGACAGAAGGGGAGGTTTGAACAAAACAAAATAATACCTGAAAATGTTGAATGGATATGTAATATTTGTGAATGTTTATGTTCTCTATTTCACCATTATTTAAACATTTATATTTTCAAAGGGAGAAAATAATTATATTTTGAAATCATTTTATTTTTTTATAGAGTGCTGTATTTTTTCTTTTCAATTTCAATTTGGTAAGCAAACAAAATCAGTCAGAATATTATACATAATTAGGTTTCCTTTTTGAGATTTGTTGAAACTCTTTATCCTTTATGTATGTATTTCAAGTAGTATAATAAAAAAGAAATATAAAATGATTAGATATACATAAAAGTATTGTAGATTATGTTTTTCATATTTTCTTTCTTTTAATGTATTTTGCAGATATAGCCATTCCAGATTATGATTTCACAAACTAAGATGATTCTCAGTAGGGAAGCGTTACTGCATGTCGTTTTCATCAAAGGGAGCTTAGTTTATTTGCCTGTCTGAATATTGACATTATATTACTAATTTACACATTGGGGAAAGGGTCAAGAGAACTCCAAATTTTTGTTGACTTGATATTAACCTGAAAGGGGAATGTTAATAAATGACAAAATATATCCACAGTAGTTAGACATCAAGTTGTGTTTATTTTTTTAATCTACTGCATATTATTGAATTATTTAGATAGATAGATAGATAGATAGATAGATAGATAGATAGATAGATAGATAGATTGATTTATTAGATGTACAGGAAATAGAATTCACTGGTGGGCATGCGTAAAGAGGGGGCAGCTCTTTTCTAATGCAGGGCTAGCTGCTTGTCCAGGGGCCCATGATTCCAGGGCTATATTTGGCCCCACAGCCATCCAGGATGAGTTGTTTCTCAGCCACCAAGTCTTAAAATGTATATGCATTAAACTTAGTAAAATCGCACTTCTTTGAGATGTGGCTTTTTGGGCATTCACTGAACTTGAATTTGGCCCTAAATAAGGCCTCAGTCACATGCTCCAGGGTTTGCAGCTTGGTATGGATGAACATGGCCAATGTGAACTCTGACCTCTGGGTCCTGAGGCTTTCCAAAGGCATACTACATCCGGTCTTAAACCTAGACTAGGGAAAGCACTAGATCCAAGACATAAATGTCCAATGGCAAAGGCTGTTGTACGCAAGGAACAGGCTGCTGTACACTACCTAGGATGATGCTGTTTGCAGCCCTTGCACACCAGGCCCCATGTGGCTTAATTGATTGTAGAAATTATTTTATATATTAAGTTTTTGGGGATTCATATCTTTTATTCAAGATAGCTAAATGTAATTTATATTAGACCATATACAGTAAGTTGTAAATTATAGAAGTTGTGCTTATCAAAATCATATTCAGTGGGCAATATGGCCTTTAATATAATGAAGTTTACTGATAAAAATTAAAATAAAATAATGTGGTTTTGTAGTGCTCTTGTATGTCAACTAAAACAAATTAACAAAACCTATTGAAACCCATAATCATTTAGACTATCTACTTACACTTTGGGAGGCCAAGGTGGGCAGATCACCTGAGGTCAGGAGTTCAAGACGAGCCTGGCCAACATAGTGACATCCCATCTTTACTAAAAACACAAAAATTAAACAGGCGTGGTGGTGCATGCCTGTAATTTCAGCTACTCAGGAGGCTGAGGCAGGGAGAACTGCTTGAACTTGGGAAGGGGAGGTTACAGTGAGCCAAGACTGGGCCACTGAACTCCAACCTGGGCGACAGAGGGAGACTCCATCTCAAAAACAAACAAACAAACAAACAAACAAAAACACAACAAAAAAACTATCTACTTAAATACCATTCTATTAAAATAAATATTTTTCTGTGATCTTAGGTTTGTTTTGTCTCAATAATATAAATAGTGTATTGGCTGTCTCAAAGTGTTAAATGGAAGCATATTTTATGGCATTGCTGAAATATCTACCAACTTTTCTTACTGTAAGTTATGCAATGGTGCATTGATTAATGCATTGGAACTTGTTAAGCAGTTTGCATGTCTGAAAAACCAAGGTTCAGAGGTATGTAGGTTAAATCCGGCAATCAAATATCAGAGAGATATTTCAGAATATTATTTTTGTGTACCAGAAAACACTTTTCAAAAAAAAAAAAAAGTAAGGGCATTAGGAAGGCATTGTAAGGTTAATCTTTTCCAGCAAAGCTATTACATTTATTTTTCTGGAGTTCTTTAGTTATAAAAAGTAGAATGTAGTTATAGGATCTAGTCAGCATTAAATTGATTGAAAAAATGAAAAACACTGTTTCATTTTTAAATAGATTAACAATTAAGCAAGTTGTTTATGTTGTCCCACTGATATACTAGAATATGCTACATTCTTTTGGGCATCTTTTAGACCATAGGGCTAAAATGTTGAGAATGACAGAGAGACAATTAGGTGCTCAGCACAAAGCAAAATGTTATGAATCAGGAAAATAAATAGAACAGAGATCAAAATTAGATAGATGCAGAATTGGAATGATACTGAAAACAAGAGATGGAACTGCAGAAAATACTATGGCAGATCATTCATTCCTTTGAATGGTGAAAGTAGTTAATACAATGGCTAACAATTGAAATGGAAAACCAGACCCAGATGAAAAAATGCAAACCAGTAAACTTACCTAGTCCTATTATTTTACTCAATTGTAGGAAATACATGAAAAAAAAAGTTGTTCATTATGAATCCTTTTTTCTAACATGGGAAGAAGTCACCACTAAACCTTTCTCATTTTTTTACTCAAATGTTTGTGTTTTCTCATAGAACTTATAATTTTAATTTATTTTTCAATATATGTTTCCCATACAGTCTAGTTGGATTCATAGTTGCGATGTTTCATGTGGTATATTTGCTCCCTATGGAACAGAACATAACATTAATCTTTAGATGTGTCACTAGAGAGATTTGTATATATCCACATAAATCTACAGTTGCAACTAGAAAAATTATCCTGTGAAAATTTTGTGATATGAATGTCTTTCAACTTTTTAAAATTTAAAGAGAAAATGATGAACAAATATGAGTTGGAAATCAGAATGAACAAATCATGAAAATATAGTGTACCCCTTCAAAAATTTTGAAAATTAAGAGAAATCGGTAGAACAGCTGTATTATCATTTACAAAAATGTTTCTCTACCTATAGAACAAACAATTACTTTGTCCTCTAATTTCCAAATAACTTACAGAACATTTATTTCCTACTGTCACTGGAATGGCAGGCTGGCAGGCTGAGTTGGTAGCCCAATTGGTTCCTCACATCAAAAGATTCCCTTTATTATTTCCTTATTTTCTCTTTAATTCTGGCACTCCTTCATGATTGAACTTACAGATGTTCTTTTGTCTACTAATTTTCGAGTAAGCCTGTGCTCTCTATAACTTTCAGTCTCAATATCCTTCTACCATCAGCCTTTTGTCTAAACATTCTTATTCTGGTTTGTTTCCCTGAACTCTTGACATCAATCTCTGTTCCTTCAATATTCTGTTTCTTCTACTGGAAGCATTCTTTCCCAGATTTCACCCACTTTACTCTTCTCAATCTCTGTGTCTGAGTTAAATGCTTCCTTAGGTTTCTATGTAGGATTGTCTGTCCATCTGTAATTTTTCTATATCTCTCATGTTAACATACTTATATCCTTTACTGAAAAATGTCTCCTTTAAAAAAAAATCAATGTGTTTGTTTACTTTCTTAAAATGCCGTCTTAAACTGCAAGGTCAAAGAAGGTAAGTATGATATTTGGATATTAATATCTACCACTTAATACAGAAACTATTCTAGCACTTGTATAGGCAGTATAAGACATAATTTTAGAACTCTAAAATAAAAACTCATAAACTGAAGTTAAATATCCATTTCCCACTGCTATCTCCTTTTCCTTTTAACACATTGATATCATTTGGATCTGTGTCCCCACCCAAATCTCATGTCAAACTGTAAGTCCCACTGTTGGAGGTGGGGCCTGTTGGGAGGCAATTGGATCATCGGGCGGTTTCTCTTAAATGGTTTAGCACCATCTCCTTGGTGCTGTTCTTGTGACAGTGAGTGAGTTATTGTGAGTCTGGTTGTTAAAAGTGTATAGCACCTCCCCACCTCTCACTCTTCTTCCTGCTTCCAGCCATGTGAAGTGCTGGCTCCCCCTTCACCTTCTGCCATGATTGTTAGCTTACTGAGGCCCCCGCAGAAGCCCAGCAGATGCATCATGCTTTCTGTATAACGTGCAGAACCATGAGCCAATTAAACTGCTTTTCTTTATAAATTACCCAGTCTCAGGTATTTCTTTAGAGCAATGTAAGAAAGGACTAATATAGAAAATTGGTAGAGGAATATGATATTGTTGTAAACATACCGGAAAATGTGAAAGTGGCTTTGAAACTGGATAGTGGGCAGAGATTGGAAGGGTTTGGAGAGATCAGAAGAAGACAGGAAGATGAGGGCAAGTTTTGAACTTACTAGAGTCTTGTTACATTGTTGTGACCAAGCTACTGATAGAGACTCACAATGAAGTCCAGGCTGAGGAGGTCTCAGATGGAGATAAGGAACTTAATGGGAACTGGAGCAAAGGTCACTTTAGTTAGGCATTAGCAAAAAGGTTGGCTGCACTGTGGGCCTGCCCTAGGGATCTGTGGAATTTTGAACTTGAGAGTATCTCAAGTTCTGGTGGGTATCTGGTGGAAAAAATTTCTAAGCAGCAAAGCATTCAGGAGGTAAGCTCACTACTTCTGACAAACTATTTTGATGTGTGTGAGCAAAGAAATGACCTCAAACTGAAACTTATATTTAGAAGGGAAGCAGAGTGTAGAAACTTGAAAAATTTGCAGCCTGGCCATGTGGTAGAACAAAAAGCCCATTTTCAGGAGAGAAATTCAAGCAAGCTGCAGAAACTTGCTTAACTAAAAGGAAGGCACATGCTGATAGCCAAGAAAATGAGGGATACCCTCCAGGGCATTTCAGAGACCTTTGTGGCAGCTCCTCCCATCACAGGCTCAGAGGACAACGAAGGAAGAATGGGACACTACTACATGCATCTCATCTGTTGCAGCTCTAGCCATGGCTCCAAGTGGCCCAGGTACAGCTCAGGATGCTGCTCCAGAGGGTTCAAGCCATAAGTCTTGATGGCTTCCATGTGGCATTAAGCCTGAGGGTGCACAGAGTACAAGAGTTGAGGCTAGATTTCAGAGAATGTATGAAGAAACCTAGATGTACAGTCAGAAATCTGCTGCAGGGTCAGAGCCCTGATGGAGAATCTCTACGAGGGCACTGAAGAGGGGAAAGGTGGGGTTGGAGCCACCACACAGTGTCCCTACTGGACCACTATCTAGGGGAACTATGAGAAGAGGGACACTATCTTCCAGACCCCAGAATGGTAGATCCACCAGCACTTGTACCGTGTGCCTGGAAATGGTGCAAGCACTCAACACCAGCCCTTGAGAGCAGCTGTAGGAGCTGAACCCTGCAAAGTCACAGGAGTGGAGCAGCACAAGGCTTTGGGAGCTCACCCCTTGCAGTGGTATGCCCTGGATGGCGTCAAAGGAGATTGTTAAGCTTTAAGACTTAATAACTTTCCTACTGGGTTTCAGACTTGCATGCGGCCCGTAGCCCCTTACTTTTGGCCAATTTCTCCCTTTTGAAATGGGAGTATTTACCCAATCCCTGTACCCCCATTATACATTATATCTTGGGAGTTTTTGTTTTTTTTTTTTATTTTACAGGGTCTTAGGCAGAAGGGGCTTGCCTCATCTCAGATAAGACTTTAGACTTTGGATGTTTGAGTTAATGCTGAAGTGAGTTAAGACTTTGAGGGACTGATGGGAAGGCATGATTATATTTTGCAAACTGAGAAAGACAAAATTTGGGAGGGACTAGGGCAAAATAATATGGTTTGGATCTATGTCCCCAACCAAATCTCATGTCAAATTGAAATACCCAGTGTTGGAGGTGGGGCCTGATGGGAGGTTATTGGATTGTGGAGTGGTTTCTTTTTAATGGTTTAATACCATTTCCTTGGTGCTATTCTTATGATAGTGAGTGAGTGAGTTATTATGAAATCTGGTTGTTAAAAGGGTGTAGCACCTCCTCACCTCTCACTTTTCTTCCTGCTCCCAGCTATATGAAGCACCGGCTCCCTCTTCATTTTCCCACCATGGTTATACATTTCATGAGGCCTCCCCACATGCCCAGCAGATGCAACATTCTTTCTGTACAGCATGCAGAACTGTGAGTCAGTTAAACCTCTTTTCTTTATAAATTACCCAATCTCAGGTATTTCTTTATAGCAATGCAATAATGGACTAATACACACCTAATAATATTATTTCCTTGAATCACGCAATCAATTAACAAAATCCTCTGTGTGAAATGGCTGGCTTCCTTTTATTGGTGGTTAACTGCTAAACAATATTTTTGGCATTTCAATTTTGTTGTTATTATTGTTCAAAGCTTGTACAAAGCCTCCATCAAGTAGTCCAATTCTCCAGCTTCTGTCACTCCTGGACAACATTTGTATTTAAAAATACCTTTCAGCCAGGTGACACACACCTGTTGTCCCAGCTACTCAGGATGCTGAGGCGGGAGGAACACTTGAGCCCAGGATTTCTGGGTTGTATGCACTATGCTGAGGAAGTGTCTGCACTAAGTTTGGCATCAATATGTTAGCTTCCAGGGAGCAGAGGACCACCAGGTTGCCTAAGGAGTGGTCAACTCAAAAATTGAGCAGAATAAAACTCCTCTGCTTATCAGTAGTGGGATGACCCCTTTGAATAGTCACTGCACTACAACCTGGGCAACATAGTGAGACCCTATTTCTTAACAAAAAAAAGAAAGAACTACCTTCCATATTTCTGCAAGTATGTGAGTTATCTTTGATGTAGTGTTACCTTTTCGCAGTGAATGAAGTGTAATAACCTCTTGCTCATTTTGTTTACAAAAATAAATAAATAAATAAAAGCAGGGACATTCTAAGTGGAATCAAGTTCCAAGTAATACAGACTTAATACTATTTATAGAATAATTCAATTTTATGATATATTTCATGTGTTGCTATCCTCAGTTATATTTACTCATGTATAGTTACACTTGTCAATGTCCTAGCTATAATCACCTATTTTTAGATTTTAATAAATGTAATTAAATTAATAGCATTTCTATTTTTATAACAAGTTCTAAAATTAAGCCACAGTAGAAAATTCATGATAAGATTAAGTTTGATTTTTATTTCACTTTTATATGTATGAATCTTAAGAATTTGGTATTTCCTATCTAATATTTGTCTTTCTGTTCTTGGAAACTAATTTCAAATTATTTACAAGTTTCAGAAGTATGCAGCCAGTGAAGAATCCAATATCATTTTGTTCAATATACCTATAATTTGAACTTAAATAAGTATACTTCCACAAATGTCACTGAAGCAAGTATTTCAAGTATTTATTTCCAGGTATAATTTCAATTATGGGGTATTCAGATATCTTGTTATATCAACAACTAAACATAATATATTACATTATTTGAGATATAAAAAGTATATCTTGAAAACAGTGCAGTTGTAAATCTTTAAGGTAGGAAAGCAGCTCAGCAAATGTTTTCCTCCACTGTCCATGAGGCAAATGTCTAATGACTGTACACACACACTCACACTCACACACATACATACACATTCTGTCTCAAATATAGATATATATTCACACTCTGATTCAATGAATTCAACCTCATGACTAAGGATTTGAATAGATAGTGTTTTTTAACCTTCATCCTTTCCTCTACTGCAATTTATAATTGAATTAGCTTACTTATTTCCCAGTAAAAACATTCCAGCATTGTGATACTATGATAAGGTTAAGATGTGAAAGTGTTTTTTACCATTTATTATAGAAAAACTATCTTATTTTCAGATTTCTAAGAACCTTTTCAAATCCACCAAGGAAAAGTGTCTATGCCTTATAGATTGAAAAGCTCATCTTTACCAGTTAATTTACATTTTACTTTTTCCTAAAATATAAGGCTCTCCATATCTGTAGGTACACAGTTTGACTTAATTATCCTATGTTATATATTGTACATAATTATATGAGAGATAATGGCAATTTAAACAAATAAAATGATGGCTATTTCTTTTTATTAACTTCATCATATTTCACTGAGGTTTTCCTTACTTTAGGCTTCCTCGATGGCTGCAATGTATGCTAAAAGTAAATTTTTATGTGAAATGTTTAAAATATTTGAAAAAGATGCTTATTGTTTGTCAGGTTTTGCCACTGTTAGCATGACTCAGTACCCATAGAGTCTGTCTCTTAGGGATGTGAAGCAAATGATTTCTCTGATCCAAAACATTTCATATGCCTTAAAAGTCAAACAATGCAAAGATGTGATATTTAGAATACTAGTTACATAATAATGGATAATGACTTAGCTTTTAAAACAACTGCTTTAAACATGACACATTTAAAGCTAATTTGTAACTTTCATATGTTTCTGAAACTTTTACAGTCACTAAATAATTTGAGTAAAGCAAATGGGTTTCAGACCGATTACAATTTGGAAAGATTGATTATAAATTTTTAATAATATGTAACAAAGAAAAATGTGGTCACTTGATTATATACCTCTTCCCCAAGATCAAGTAAATACTTTATCAATAGAAAAAAGAAAGAAAAGCAAAAAGAAAAGAAAAAGAAAGCAACACTGCTATATAGAACATTTTTTTTTTCTAAATGGAATCCAGCAGCAAAAAAAAAGATAATTGAAGATACTATTAAAAGATACAATTTAATATTAATATTGACCACATTTATAAATTCACATAATTTTATAAAACATATGCACTTCTGAGTATAAAACACACATAATACAAAAAAGATTATTACATTTTAAATTGTTAAAATTTCCTCAATAGTTTTTCCACACCTGATGATTACTCTCAATCTCAACAAGATAATTATAAATGATGTTTATTATTCAAAATAGATTATTTTGTGTGTGTGTTTTATTCAATTAGGTGGTAAATTATAAGATTTTGCCAGGTGATTCAGAGAAGTAGCCTGGAAAAGTTTATATAGATGGTACTAAATGAAAGATAGAAAATTAAAAATTTATAGTTAAATTTATTAGAAACTTAAAATTCTTTAAAAAATTATAGTTAGGTAAATAAATCAACTAAATTTTTCCTTTTTCCTTCATATTGCAGAGTGTATTATTCCAGCCGGTTTACCATGCAGGCTTCCCAATTTGATACTAATTTTAACCTGACTTTTATATATCAATATTAAAGAGACGAAAAATAAATGTGATTTTCTCCAGCTCTATATCCCTCCAAGGAGAGCTTTGGAACTGAAATCCTAATCAGGGGATACATTTTTAATATTTTTGTCTCAAATGAATTTGGAGTCCTCCATAGTATTTCCAAAGTTGCAGAGCAGAAAAGAGGTTACCAATAAAATTGGGTAGTTCTCATCCCAATTACAGAATTAGGCCAAGTTATCAGATATGCAACAAATATCCACTCAGAAAGATTGAATATTTAAATATTTTAATTTATGAAGTATTAGCCTATTGCTCAGTTAAAGTATTTTGGAAATTTTTCTTTAAAAAATGTATCAAACTTGTGGTTAGATGACATTACTGACTCATTTTGCATCTGATCAAAACAAATAATGCATGAAACAAAGCAATGTAAGTTATAAAGCATTTTAAAATTGAAATAAGAGATCTTTATTTCTGTTGCATATCAAATGGGATTTATTGACTTCCTTTTCTCAAAAATGTCATATAGAAAACATTTCTACCCTCTAAAAATTACTAATAACATTAGCATCAATGATTTACAAGTAGACACAAGTAAGGTGAAACACAGATTAACTCATACCATCAAATTCATATGGCCAAGTATAATCCCATTATATAACTATTTTCTATCACTAAGCATAGTCCAGCTATAAGTGTAAAAGGATGACGAAAAATGTTGCTAAAACATTAAGTGAAAATATACTGAAAAGAATCCCCAAAGACAAGAAATACAAGAACACACCAATTTGCCATCACACTTTATGTTCAGCCCTTTAGTGAAAAAAAAAAGTTTTCTAATTAATATTTCATTTACATTGGGGACAAGTACATAATGTAGTCATCAATTTGCTTAGATTCTGAAATACCATTCATTTATGTACATATTTTCTCTATTCAAATGTACTATTCACATCACTTGTCAATTTGCATATATTAAATCATCATGCAAAATTTACCATATTTTGAATATTTTATTAATAATGACCCTTTTCTACAATTTTTATATGCACTTAAATTTTAAACAGCCAAACATTCAAAGGCTTAAAAATCAACACTTGAATTTTAAAATACTATTTGTATGAAATGAAATATTTAATTACAAATGTTAACTATATGTTATTGCTGTAACTATTGGGATAGACAGTGGGCAGTTAGTATAAGCTACTTTGTTAATAAATAAAATTTTAAAAATAATCAATGGAATGTTCATTTCAAACTACTTTGTTATTTCATTTCATTTAAATTTAGCATAAACTTTACTTCGGCAGCCAATTCCTTAGTTGTTCTTCTCCATTAACTCATGACTACTTTAGCTCTTGATGCTAAGCATGATGATGTTTGGTTTCAGAAGTTGCCACATTAACAATAGGATCCTTGAAGCTACAATCATGCTAAGCAATTTTGACAATTTTATATTTTATAGGGCCTAGTTCTAACATTCTATTGTTATTTAATTTTATAAATATTTTTAAAAATCTTGTTACTAAATTAAAAATAGACCTCTGGAAAATAAATCGAAAGGTTTTTTTGTTTTTTGTTTTTTGAGACAGAGTCTCACTCACTCTATCACTCAGGCTAGAGTGCAGCAGCCTGATCTTGGCTCACTGCAACCTCTGCTTCCTGGGTTCAAGCGATTCTGCTGCCTCAGTCTCCCAAGTACCTGAGAATACAGGTGCCCACAACCATGCCCAGATAATTTTTGTACTTTTAGTAGAGATGGGGTTTTGCCATGTTGGCCAGGCTGGTCTCAATTCCTGACCTACATGATCCACTCATCTGGGCCTCCCAAAGTTCTGGGATTACAGGCATGAGCCACTATTCCCTGCCAAATTAAAAGTTTTTATATGAAAAAGATATACACAAAGCAAAGATACTTTTACAGTATGAAAGTGAATTATAATTGAGAAAAATATCTGCAGGCCATAATAGAATAGTTCTATTTCAATAGTTCGCAAACAATTTGTTAGTTCTGCTAAATAAAAAAATTTCCAACACTTGTTAAAATGGTTAAGGATCACTTTATTTAAGATTAAAATGATAGGTGTCAAGATGATTCTAATAGGCAAGAGAGATAAGGTTCAACTCTGAACACAGCAAAGATATCTGGGAAGTGCAGCTAATGAGCAGAGTGAAAGGTTGTCAATGAATACAAATTACTAAGAGGAGACATCAAGGGTAGGGGATTTCTTGTTAGCTAACGTAAGAGGATTCTTGCTGAAGGCAAGCCAGAGTGATCAGATATCAAGAGTGGGAGATTCTCTCTAAACTGACTTAGCAGCATTCTTGCAACAGCTGGACTAGGCAGTGTAAAGACAGGGCCCAAGGACAAAGTAGAGTCAAAAAGAGTGTTCCTAGAAGCCTGACTAAAGCGTAGACAAGAAGAAAGTCTTCATCAGTTCCAAAGTCACTTTCTATACTTATGATTTGGCCATGAGCATTCCTATGTTTACTTAGTTTGGAGGAGTGGACTCAGCAGCATGTATGTTATGGGAAAAAAAGAGATTTGGAAAAATTACTTACATAAGTTTGAAAGGCAAGATGAATCTGGCCATATGGTAAAATCCAACAGAACTCTTCTGGTTATGAGTAATTTGTAAAATAATTCATACATTGCCCATTATATGCATTAGATATATGTAAATTTTACCATGCTTATTCTTCAGAACAGAAAAAGTGAAATACAAAGGCAAACATGGTAAAGCAATTTATTTTAGTTTTTGTGAGTTGTTCTTCTAGAGTATGTTATATGACTCTATGCCCTCAGTTTGAAACTCTCATTGAACCATATCTAAATTAACTAATAAAATGAACTTTGAATTATATATGCCACTGTGTGCAAATTAACATTCATTGACTGTATGTGTATGTAAATATTGGCCAGTAAACAGAGCCATTTACATCTTCATAAAGAGAATAACACTTCCAACTAAAATTCCTTCTAAAATTGGACTCATATCAATTGGAAGTATTTCAAACAATTACTAAACTGATTTACTTGAACAAATATAGAAAATATTATCTAAGCTATGTGTACCTATTTTTTTATATTCCTAGAAATTAGGGGGAACTTTTATTTCCTTTGATTGAATATGAGTTTCTAACTTAACAAAATATATAATAGTGAGTCAGTAAAATGAATACTTTTACCAAGGATGGAAAGTGTTCTGAATTATCTAAAAGACATTTTCATTGCAGTTAACATTTGCCTGTGTAGATCAGATTAATATTAAAATCTATTTTTTTCTTTTAACAAAATTTAGCAAATGAGGAATTTTCTATTGGTTCATTTCTTCTGACATTTCTTCTATGTTGACCCTTCTCCCACTTCATGTTGCAAGATGTGAGATCTTACTTCACTTATCACATTCATATTCAAGGCAAACTAAATAGAATCGGGATGATAGGCTTGTACATTTATGCTTTTTTACAGAAACCTTTAGAGAAGTGTTCAGCTATACTGTATCTCACCTATAAAAGGTGGTTCACATTTCCAAATGGATAAAGGCTAGAAAAATCAAGAAAAAGAGCTGTCATGAGTACATGACAGCAAACATAATTTGGGGCTTAGACTCCTGACCAAATTGAAGTTCTGTAAGTAAGAAATTAAGAGAAAATTAATATTGGGCAGGCAAAATCCATGTTGGTATATCCTTATGCATATAACTAGAAATATATTGCTAATTTTAATAAACTTACTTTCAAAAATGTATTCTGTGTTATTATACTTTAACATGTGTTCATTAACTGTGTGTGTTCCTAAACCTTGTCATATTTGGATATGATTTTTAGCAATAAATAGTGGGGCAAGATGGAAAATCTGAAGTTTTACAAAAACTAAATATAAGACAAAAACAATATATATTCAACTAAAAAGGAGTTGGCAACAAACTTCTCTGATTCTATATCAAATCCCAAAAAACAATGGAATATGTATCAGTAATTATTGACTACCATAGGGTAATAATAATAATAAATGGTCATAAAATAAATTAGTTAATGGAAAATGATAGATATTAATTATTGAATGATAAAGCACAATGTAAAACAAAATGATAGAAATAATCATACTCACAAACATAACAATCTGTATGTACAAGTCTAGGTTTTCCAAATTAAAGCTGGTTACTCACAAAATCCTTGAAAAGAGTGAGAAGTTGGTGGGGTGATTATATTTTTAAGCTATGAAGTCAGATAGTGTGATGTTTCATCTCAGTACCACTATAAAATAAAGTTTTAATCCTGTTCATGTCAATCTTAATTTTCACTAGCTTTTTAGGTAAGGAAAATTCATGTCCATCCCTTCCTTGATTCATCTCTTTCAAAAGCAACACTTTAAATGGTTGATGACTTAACATCACTGCAACTATTTTCTCCTTCATTTAAGAACATAATCAACCATTTATGTGAGCATGTTTATTTTACACCTCAATTTTGGCTCAAGGAATATAACACATAGTGGTTTCTTTCTTTCATTTGCCATATCAAATCCATGAACACCTGCCTTTAAGATGTATCAGATTACTTTTACCTCTTACTAGCCATGTCCAGGCAACTGCCAAAGCACTGGATCATTGGAATAGCTTCATAAATGATGACCCTATTTCTCTCACTTTCATTCCTAGAGGCTGTTTTTCAGCCAGGAGTCAGAATGATTATAAAACATAAATCAAATAATTTCACAGTCTTGCTCATAGCTTTCTAATTGTTCCCCTTCTCAAAGTAAAACCCAAAACCTTGTCATTGTTTGTGAAAGAAACAATATGGGATCCTTCTCCATACCTCCCCCAATTTATTTTATCACAGCCCTCATTGTTTTGGTCATTCTATCCTTAAGAGCCTCCTGATATTTCTTGGAAATGCCAAGATTCACCCACCTTAAAAACCACTTTGTTTTTCTGTCTTTGAAAGAGACATGCGCTGTAGATATTTGCTTGCTACTCTACTTAATTCTAGACATCTCAGCAGAATTCTTTTGAGAGGCAGACAGTCACTCTGGATCTGCATTCAAATTTCACCCTAGAACTTATCCGCATGTTAATACTGCGTTTCTTTTTTTAATTTTTCACTGCCTTTCTCGCCCAAAAAGAAAGAACGTAAGCTCTTCCTGTCAGGGACAGCTATTTTTTTTTCTGTTTTCTCTTTTTCTTAACCTGGCATGAAGACACATTTCTGGCATAGAGCAAATAAATAATAAATATTTGTTGAATCTAGTAGGTTTGAAGAGGCAGCTCATTATACGTTTCGTTTGCATTTCTTTAATAACTAATGATGTCGAGTATGTCGAGAATGTTTTCTTCAGTATTCTCAGTCAAATCTTGCATAAGTTAATCCTTAATTTGTCAACTGTTGATTCATTTTGCTCTGTGCTGTTCTCATGATAGTGAATGAGTCTCACGAGATCTGATGGTTTTAAAAATGAGAGTTTCCCTGCACAAGCTCTCACTTTGCCTGCTGCCATCCATGTAAGACGTGACTTGCTCCTCCTTGCCTTTCATCTTTCGCCATGATTGTGTGGTCTCCCCAGCCACATGGAACTGTGAGTCCAATAAACCTCCTTCTTTTGTCAATTGACCAGTCTCAGGTATGTCTTTATCAGCAGCATGAAAACAGACTAATACAAAGGTTACATAAGAAAATAAGGACAACCACAGAATGGGACAAAAACTTATAAGTCTTATATCTGATAAGGAACACATGTTCCAGACGATATAACCACTCTTACAACTCAATAAAAAGACAACGCAATTTAAAAATGGGCAAAAGATGAATAGACATTTCTTCAAAAAGATGAAAAATGGCCAATAAGCATGTGACAAGGTGCTCAATAACATTCATTATTAGGGAAATGCAAATCAAAACACAATGATACACCACTTCACCCCACTGAGATAACTAAATTCAAAAGACAAACAATAAGGAGTGTCAGCAAGAACAGGAAACTGGATAAGAACCTTCATTCAATGCTGAGGGAATGTAAAATCTTGTCTGTTTTGGAAAACATTTTGGTAGTTTCTCAAAAATTAAAACAGAGTTATCATATGATCCAGTAATTACACTCCAAGGTATATACTTAAAAGAAATGAAACCACACAAAAACGTATACCTGAATGTTCACAGCAGCATTATTCATCATAGCCAAAGTGGAAACAAGACCACTCAAGCCAGCCCTGCCTCGGAACCTGACAAAGTTAAATGGAAGCCTACACAGCTGAGCCGCATTTCCATGGGAGACATTTTGGTCATTCCAGGTGATGATGAACTACACCAATTGTTAGTGGCTGAGAAGAACCTCAGGAATGTGCGAGCATCTTTTGACTTTTATTTTGGGGGGCTGCATCTACTACCACAACATGCAATATGGGTAACACTGGCATGGCTGGTTAGATTTGATTACCTCATGCAAATAAGTCATGTGGTAATACTGATATTGATGATCAAATGTATTGGGAGATTGAGTTAAAGTCTCCTCAGGATGTAATACCAACGGAAAATGAGTCTTTAGAAGAACTATATTTAGTTAACCATCACCTAATTTCCAGATAAATAGTTCTGCACAGGTCATATAAGATACAAAGAGCAGTAGATCAAGGGGGAGGATGATCTTGGGGACTCCTGAAATATACTGTCAATAACCCAGATATCCTCCAGTAAATAAATGGATATACAAAGTGTGGTATACATACATATGTACATACAGTGGAACATTATTCAGCCATAAACAGGAATGAAGCACTGATACAGGCCACACAATGAATGAACCTCAATAAACCGTAGAATCCTGCTACGTGAAAGAAGCCAGTCAGAAAAGACCAGATATTGGATGACACATCTATATAAAATGTCCAGAATAGGCAAATCTAGAGACAGAAGGCAGATTCATGGTTGTCAGGGGTTGAGGGAAGGAGGAAATGAGGAGTGATTAAGTGAATTAATGCATGTTAACACCTTAAACTTTGGGCAACTGCCCAATCACACAGACAGTGCAGTCTCATTCATGGGTTACATGACAAAACAAAGAGAAAAGCCTGGGTAGAAATACCAACATGTATGTTATGAAAAATATAACACCTAAATAAACAGAGAAACTATGTTCCTTAATGAGCAAATTCAATATTATAAGGTTGCCAATTCTCCTCCCATAGTTTCTCAAAAGTTGCAATGTAATGCAATTTTAATCCAAATGGCATGGTTATCTAGACAAGAAAAAAATTGATTGTAAAATTTATATGAAATAATAAAGGTGTGAGAATTGCAAGGAAAATTTTCAAATGGAAAATTATTACAGGAGAAAGGAGTGTGGAGACCTTGCTCTGTATGGCAGAAGTCAAAGACAGCTACCATCAATTCTTTCCCTTCCTCAACACACATTGCTTCTCAAGAGGTGAGGAATAGCTCCCTTCCCCTTGAATCTGGCTGCCTTGCAACTTGCTTGATCCATAGAATGTGACATAAATTCCATTCTGGGAATTCTGCTATTGGATTTTTTTTTTTTTTTTTTTTGAGATGGAATCTCCCTCTATTGCCAGTCTTGAGTGCAGTGGTGCAATCTCAGCTCACCGCAACCTCCGCCTCCCAGGTTCTAGAGATTCTCCTGTCTCAGCCTCCCGAGTAGTTGGGACTACCGGTTCACACCACCATGCCCAGCTAATTTTTGTATTTTTTTTTTTTATTGGAGACGGGTTTCACTATGTTGGCCAGGATGGTCTCGATCTCATGACCTTGTGATCTGCCTGCCTTGGCCTCCCAAAGTGCTGGGATTACATGCATGAGCCATCGTGCCTTGCCCGATTTTTTTTTTTTTTTTTTTTTTTTAAGAAACTGAAGCCTCTACTTCGGTCTCTTGGTAGCCTTCCTCCTGGGAAGCTCTTTCTTGAATCTAGTCACCATTCCATTCCACCACGCCACATATGTCTTCTCCAGGCAACAGCCAACATCAATTGTCAGCCATGTAAGTGAGTTTCAGATGACTGTGGCCCCGGCTAATGTTTGACTGTAGCACATGTGAGAGGCCCCATGCAGAACCACCTAGAAACATGGAGAGCAGTCACCCTGCAGAACCATGAGTAAGTTAAGCTTAGGGGTGGTTAATTATGCAGAAATAAGTAAACAGAGCACTCCACCAGGTATTAAAGATTATTACAAAGATTATGTAATTAAAACAATACAGAACAGACCAGGGTTGACTACAAGATCAATGGGACAGAATAAAGTTACATATCCAATGCCTGCTGCTGACCACAGGGATTTGTCACAGATCTCATCACTTAGAAACCCTACAGTGGTTTCCCTGGTCACCTTCCAGTCACCACTACACCTTGGCTCCTTTTAGCACTCCTCCCTAGCTTATCACTATATGAAATTGCTTTATCTCTTTGTATTGTCTGTCACCTGCCACCATAATGTGAATTTCTAGACCTCCATAGCATGCAAAGCTCTAGAACAGTTCTTAGAACACAGAAGGTGCTTGACAAATATTTTCTGAAAGAAAAAGAAGATACTTCAATACCTCAGTTTACTAAGGACGTGGGGCTACCATATGGCTGCCTGAACAAATACAGCTTGACATTCACTTTCTTGCTACTGATTGAAGTGTATTAACTTGTGTAATCACACAACTACCCTATGGGGTAGGTGCCCTTATTTCTCCATTTGGCAGAGAGGGACTAAGTATCTTAACCAAGGTCACACGGCTTTCAAGTGCCAGAGCCAGGACTCAGATCTACATAGGTCTGGCTCCAGAGCCCCCAATCTAACCTCTTAACCTCTCTGCTTTACTGGGCTAAACCTTCACCACCTATCATATGGAAAAAGAAATTCAATAGAAAGTTATATGGAAAAAATACAACCCTGTGTTAATATTAGAAAATCCATAGTAACATGTAGAATGAGGAAGCTTCCTCAAGCCCAACTATACAGGTCAGATCGGTTGAAAAAATAAAACTAACAAATTTTTACATGTCAAAATATGCAATATTTGAAAATCCAAGGCTAATATCTTTAAATAGGCAAAGATTTATTAATACTCCTTGACACACAAACAGGAAGTGAGAAAATGGGCAACTGACACAAATCGATAATTAACTGTGAGGACATAGGTGGTGGAGTCTCTCCTAATCCTCTATTCTTGGAGATCTGGATGCCTGCCATTCGCGTATGGGAAGAACAGAGACAGTCATGGAAAACAGCATTTGATCTAGAAAGGACCATAATGAGGTCAAAGGGCGGTCTCAGGGCAGTCTTAAGAGCTCCCCATCCCCAAAGAACTGGCAAGGACTCTCCAGGTGCTCGTATGCGACTGCTGCCCAACTCCCATCACGAACTCAGGAGACCTGTCATTTTCTGAAATTTTCATGACTTCTAAGACACTAGTTATTGGGGAAAATTTCAAATTATTTAAATAATGAGAGGCGAATAACATTGCTAAACTCATGAATACTCTGTATTTAAAACCTCCACTGGCGATCAGGGCACATAGAATCTCTACTACTGATCCCTGACGCTGGCCATCCCCCAACCCGTCGGCCCACGGACCCCAGCCCTGACCCCACCTCCTCCCAGCATCTTACACAAGGATTCTCACCACACTCCCCAGAGACTCGCCTGCCCAGGGCCCCTCTCTAACCCCATATAGCTCAGGTCTCTGATCCAGAGACTGCATCACCGACCTCTCCTACTACCTATTTCCAGATTAGAGTCCCTGATCCCAGAGGCATTGTCTAAAATAACTAGCTCTTACAACTACGTCCACTTCAGGAACCGCCCTGTGATGTCAGAACTTTGAGGCCGCCCGGCCAGGGCTGCACATGCTCAGTGAGGTCGGCGCCCGCCAGTAACAAACATGGCTCCCTGAAGCCGCTCAGGCTCAAGAGCAACATGGAGGTCTGCACTTAATCGCTCCTCTCCGGGGGCGGCCATACTGAGGAGGCATCTCTTCCGTGCAGGCAGGCTCTCCTGGGGACCTCAGAGATTCTCTCCAGCGGCAGCAGAAAACGGGCAATGGGTGGATTCGGGTCCAGATTCTGGCAGGAGGGAGTTTGGGATCGAGATCTGGAAAAAAGCACTAGACTGGAAGAGGACGCGATGGAGTCGGAGCCGCTGGCGGGTACAAAAACCAGAGGCCGGGGAAGGCGCCGGTGGGAGGCAAGGCACGGATGGACTTTACCTGCGCACGCGTCGCAGCCATCTCCGCGCACAGTGGTGGCCACCGCGACTGGTGCTGAAGTGTCGGCGTGTGCCGGGCGCTCCGCTGGGACCCGGGTTGCTCGCCCTGAGTCTCAGCTTTCTCATCTGTACGGTTGGGACAAGTACAGTAACCCTCGCCCGTCAAGACGGGCCAGGGCTGTGGCGAGGGTCCACGCCTTAGAGCAGGCACCTATCTTGTGCAGGGCCCTGAGATGGGGTCTGACTCAGTTCCTGCGGGGAACTTCACCAGTGACCCAGTCAGTGCCCTTCAGTTAAAGACCACCAGGAGCACACTTGTAAGTAAATATAATTACATTGCAGCAAGGAATGGGGTACTATGGGTCATCTCAGTGGGAGGAGTTAGAGAGAAACTATTATACGATTTGGACTTTAATTGGTTGATTTCGGACAGGATCTCAGAAAGTGAAGACTTTAGATTGGATGCTGTCAGAAAGCAGGAGCAATATGATTATTAAGTATTTTGTGGGTGGCATCAAGACCTTGTTTTTTATCTGCACTTAGACAACATTATAAAGTGCCCTTGTTTTTGTTTGCACTTATCACGGTCTCAGATTAACCTTCTGAAGTTGATATTCTGTGAGATTGTTTATGTCCAACAGGAAAACAAAATGTCCTGGCCATGAACATCAGACCAGCGTGTAATCACATTAAGGCCTGTGACCAAAATATTGACAGAATTGAAGTTAGAAATAGTTCTACAGTAACAGAGTCTTCAATACTCCATTTAAAATAATGCATAGAAGCTGGACATGGTGGCTCATGCCTTTAATCTCAGCTACCTGGAAGGCTGCGGCAGGTGGATTGCTTGAGGTCAGGCGTTCGAGACCAGCCTGGGCCTTTTGGCCTGTCTCGGCTTTTAACATACCTTCCTCACTCAGCTTAATCATTTCTCACTTTAGATTTATAATAAGAGATGTGTGACTCTTACTTTCACTTGAACACATAGAGGCCTTTATAGAGTTATTAATTGGCCTAATTTCAATATTGCTGTGTCTCAGAAAACAGACCTGAGGAGAGGGTGAGATGGAGGAAGGGCAGATCGATGGAACCATTCGAATACACATATGTATCAATTAAGCTCATTGTCTTTTGGAGCATGGCTTGTGATGCCCCAAAACAATGACAATAGTAATATCAATGATCACTGATAACAGATCACCATAACAGATATAATAATAACAAAACATTTGAAATATTGCAAGAATTACAAAGATGTAACACAGAGGTGCAAAATAAGCACATGCTACCAGAAAAGTGGCACTGGTAGACTTGCTTGGTGCAGGGTTGCCACAAACCTTCAACCTGTACAAACTGCAATATCCGAGAAGCATAATAAAGTGAAGTGCAATAAAACAAGTTAAGCTTGTATATGTATGCATGCACACACCAGTACACATCCACCTATCCACACACAAATCTTTGTACTAACAAAGCCTGTATTTTCAATTCCAACAATACATCATTTGTACCTTAAAAATCTCTGTCATCCTTGTAGTGTCCTTTTCTGTCTTTGTTATCAGGGTAATGCTGGCCTCATAAAAAATGTTTGGAAGTGTTCCCTCCTCTTCAACTTTTGGAAGAGTTTGTGAAGAAATCGTATTAATTCTTCTTCAAACATTTGGTAGAATTCTCCACTAAGCTATCTGGTCTTGGATTTTCCTTTTTCAGGAGCTTTTTGACTACTGACTCAATATTTTTAATCATTATTTATCTGTTTTTATTTTCTATTTCTTCATGTTTCAGTCTAGTGGATGTATGTTTCTAGAAATTTCTCTATTCTAAGTTAAACAATTTGTTGACACATAGTTGTTTAGAGTAGACTATTATTATCCTTTGTATTTCTATGGTACCAATTTTAATATCTCCTTTTTTGTTCTAATTTTATTTACTTGAGATTTCTTTTTTCTTGGCCTAGTGAGAGGTTGGTCAATTTTTATTATCTTTTCAAAAAATCAACTCTTCGTTTCATTCATCTTTTCTATTGTTTTTCTAGTCTATTTCATTTATTTCTGCTATGATCTTTGTTATTTCCTTCTAATTTTGGGCTTGATTATTTTTTTCTATTTTTTGAGGTTTATTTGGGATCTTTTTTCTTTATTTAGCACTTATCTGTATAAACTTCCCTCTCTTAGAACGGCTTTTGCTTCATCTCATCAGTTTTAGTATGTCGTGCTTTCATTTTAGTTTGTCTCAAGATATTTTATTTCTTTTTTGATGTTTTCTTTGATCTACTGGTTATTCAGGAGTGTGTTGGTTGATTTCCACATATTTGTCACTTTTCTAAGTTTTCTCCTGTTTTTAATTTCAGTTTCATGCCACTGTAGTCAAAAAGAATACTTGGTGAGATCTCAATCTTCTTAAATTTGCTAAGACTTGTTTTCTGGCCTAATATATGACCTATGTTGGAGAATGTACTGTGTATGCTCGAGAAGAATGTGTATTTTGCTGTTTTGGAAAGGAATGTCATGTATATGTCTGGTCCATTTGATCTATAGTGTAGTTCAAGTCAGCTGTTTCCTTATTGATTATCTGTCTGAATGATCAATCCATTGTTGAAAGTGGGATATGGAAGTCCCTTACTGTTATTGTATTATTGTTGTCTACTTCTCTCTTCAGATTTGTTAATATTTGCTTTATATAATTAGGTGCTCCAATGTTGGGAGAATATATATTTGCAGTAGTTATATCCTCTTGATGAATTGAGCCTTGTATCATTCTATAATGACTTTCTTTGTCTCTTGTTACAGTTTTTGACTTAAAGTCTATTTTGTTTGTTGTAAGAATAGCTACTCTTTCTCTTCTTTTGTTCCCTCTCTTTCAGTCTATGTGTGTCTCTAAAGGTGAAGTGAGTCTCTTATAGGTGGCATATATTTGGTTCTTGTTTTACTATCCATTCAGCCACTCTGTGTCTTTTGTTTCACTGATTTGGTCCACTGATATTTAAAGTAACTATTGATAGGCATTTTGTAGTTTTCTTGTTCTTTTATTTCTCTCTTGCTGTGCATGATTTGATTACTTTGATTATTTTCTGTAGTGGTATACTTTGATTCTTTCCTGTGCCTTTGTATTAATTCTTTTTTAAACGTGGTAAAATTCTCATTTGTGTATCTGTTACATGTTTGTCTTTGTGATTATCATGAGGCTTACATAAAACATTGTATGCTATCGTGTGCCACACAAGGATGTTTTGGTCAATGATGGGCCACATATACAACGGTGGTCCCATAAGGTTATAACATTTTTATTGTACCTTTCATATGTTTACATACATTAGATACACAAATGCTTATGATTGTATTACAGTTGCCTATAGCATTCAGTATAGTACAATGCTGTACAGATTTGTAGCCTGGAAACAATAGGTTATACCATATAGCCTGGGTGTGTGTTAGGTGGTATTATCTAATTTTGTGTAAGTATACTCTATGATATTCACACCATGACAAAATTGCATTATTCAGAACATATCCGCATTAAGAAATGCATGATTGTAGTTATAATGGTCTATTTTAAGTTGATAACAACTTAACTTCAATCATATACAAAAACCCTACACTTTACTCCCCTCCACTTATGTTTTTTGATGTCAGAGTTTCTTTCTTTGTATATTTTGTAATTATATTTATTTGTAGTATTTTTTGTCTTTTAACCTTTTAAAAGTTAAAGTGATTATACTGCATCATTACAGTATTAGGAGTATTTTGAATTTGACTGTATAGTTACCAGTGACTTTTTATAACTGCATATGGTTTCATGATACTAATTAGTCTTATTGCATTTCAGTTTGAGGAACTCCCTTTAGGGTTTCTTATAAAGCAGATCTAGTGACAGTGGACTCCCCTAGATTACTGTGGGGGGTTTCTGAAAAAGTCTGTAAGTCCTAGCCAGAGCAATTAGGTAAGAAAAAGAAATAAAAGGCATCCAAATTGGAAAAGAAGTGAAAGTGTGTCTATTTCAAGATGACATGATCTTATATAGAGAAAATTCTAAAGGCTCCAAAAAAAAACTGTTAAAATTAAGAAACAAATTCAGCAAATTTACAGAACACATAATTAACATTAAAAAAAAAAAAACCTATTGCATTTCTATATACTAACAGTGAACTATCCCAGAAAGAAATTAAGAAAACAATCTCGGGCTGTGCGCGGTGGCTCACGCCTGTAATCCCAGCAATTTGGGAGGCTGAGGCAGGTGGATAATGAGGTTAGGAGATCGAGACCATCCTGGCTAACATGGTGAAACCCCATCTCTACTAAAAATACAAAAAATTAGCCGGGCGTGGTGGTGGCCGCCTGTACTCGGGAGGCTGAGGCAGGAGAATGGTGTGAACCCGGGAGGCAGAGCTTGCAGTGAGCTGAGATCACACCACTGCACTCCAGCCTGGGTGACAGAGCGAGAGTCCATCTGAAAGAACACAATCTCATTTACAATAGCATCAAAAAATTAACTTAGGAATAAATTTAAATAAGAAAGTAAAATTTCTATATACCAAAAACTATAGAACACTGATGAAAGAATTTGAAGATAAAAGAATCTCTATTACTCAGTGTGATCTACAGATATAATGCAACCCCTATCAAAATTTCAGTGGCATTTTTCAAAGCAATGGAAAAAAGCAATTCTAAAATCTGTGTGCAACAGACCCCAAACAGTCAAAACATTCTTGAACAGAAAAAACAAAAGTGGAAGCTTCACATTACCTTATTCCAAACTAAATTATAAAGCTATAGTAATTAAAATAGTATGGTACTGGCATAAAAACAGACATGTAGGCCAAGGGAAAAGAATAGAAAGCACAGAAACAAATCCATGCCTTTACAATCAATTGATCTTCAGCATTGGTGCCAAGAAAACACAATGATAAAAGTTTAGTCTCTTTAATAAATGGTGTTGGGAAAACTGGATATCCACATGCAGAAGAATGAAACTGAACCCTTATCTCACCCCACATACAAAAATTGACTCAAAATGGATAAAAGACCTCAACCTAGGAGCAATATTGTAAAACTCTTAGACATAAATATAGGAGAAAAGCTCCTTGACACTGGTATTGGTAATAAATTTTCAGATTTGACACCAAAAGTATAGACAACAAAAGCAAAACTAGACAAATGGGACTAAATCAAAGTAAAAGATTCAGCACAACAAAGGAGACAATCAATACAATGAAAAGACAACCTAAAGAATGGGAGAAAATATTTACATGCTATATATCTGATAAGAAGTTAATATCCAAATAAATTAGGAACTTAGACGATTCCAAAGGACCTTGTATTAGTCTGTTTTCATGCTGCTGATAAAGACATACCTGAGACTGGGTGATTTATAAAGAAAAAAGAGGTTTAATGGACTCACAGTTCAACACAGGTGGGGAGGCCTCATGATCACAGTTGGAAGGTGAAAGGCATGTCTTACATGACAGCCGGCAAGGCAGGATGAAAGCCAAGCAAAAGGGGAAACCCCTTATAAAGCAATCAGATCTTGTGAGATTTATTTACTACCATGAGAACAGTATGGGAGAAACTGCCCCCATGATTCAATTGTCTTCCACCAGGTCCCTCCCACAACATGTGGGAATTATGGGAACTACAATTCAAGATGAGATTTGGGTAGGGACACAGCCAAATCATATCATTCTGCCCTGGCTCCTCCCAAATCTCATGTCTTCATATTTGAAAGCAAATTATGCCTTCCCAACAGTCCCCCAACATCTTAACTCATTTGAGCATTAACTCAAAAGTCCACTCTCCAAAGTCTTATCTGAGACAAGGCAAGTCCCTTCCAGCTATGAGAACATAAAGTCAAAAGCAAGTCAGTTATTTTCCAGATACAATGGAGGTACAGGGAGGGTGTAAATATACCTGTTCCAAATGGTTGAAATTGGCCAAAACAAAGAGGCTACAGGCCCCAAATCCAAAATCCAGCAGGCCAGTCAAATCTTAAAGTGCCAAAATGCACTCCCTTGACTCCACGTCTCGCATCCAGGTCACACTTATGCAAGAGGTGGGCTCCCATGGCCTTGGGCAGCTCCACCCCTGTGGCTTTGCAGGACATATCCCCCCTCCTGGTTGCTTTCATGAGCTGGCATTGTCTGTGGCCTTCCCGTGTGCATGGTCAAGCTGTTGGTGGATCTACCATTCTGGGGTCCAGAGGACGGTGGCCTACTTCTCACAGATCCAGCAGGCAGTACCCAAGTGGGGACTGTGTAGGGGCTTCAACCCCACATTTCCGTTCTGCACTGTCCTAGCAGAGGTTTTCCATGAGGGACCCCCCCCCACCCGCCCCACAACAAAATTCTGCCTGGACATCCAGGTGTTTCCATACATCCTCTGAAATCTAGGCAGAGGTTCCCAAACCTCAGTTCTTGACTTCTGTGCACCCACAGACTCAACACCATGTGAAACTGCCAAGGTTTGGGGCTTGTGCCCTCTGAAGCCAAAGTCCAAGCTGTACCTTGGCCCCTTTTAGCCATGGCTAAAGTGGCTGGGATGCAGGGCATCAAGTCTCAAAGTGGCACACAGCAGGGAGCCCCTGAATCCAACCCAGGATTTTTTCCTTTTAGGCCTCCTGGCCTCTGATGGGAGGGACTGCCACAAAGATCTCTGACATGTCCTGGAGATATTTTCCCCATTGTCTTGGGGATGAACATTTGGCTCCTTGTTGCTTATGCAAATTTCTGCAGCTGGCTTGAATTTCTCCTCAGAAAATTGGTTTTTCTTGTCTATCATGTCGTTTGGCTGCAAATTTTCCAAAGTTTTATGCCGTTTCCTTTTAAAACTGCATGCTTTTAACAGCACCCAAGTCACCTCTTGAATGCTTTGCTGCTTAGAAATTTCTTCTGCCAGCTACCCTAAATCATCTCCCTCAAGTTCAAAGTTCCACAAATCTCTAGGGCAGGGGCAAAATGCTGCCAGTCTCTTTGCTAAAACATAGCAAGATTTACCTTTACTCCAGTTCCCAACAAGTTCCTCGTCTCCATCTCAGACAACCTCAGCCTGAATTTCATTGTCCATATCATTATTAGCATTTTGTTCAAAGCTACTCAACAAGTCTCTAGGGAGTTCCAAATTTTCTCATGTTTTTCTGTCTTTCTGTGAGCCCTCCAAACTGTTCCAACCTCTTCCTATTACCCAGTTCCGAAGTTGGTTCCACATTTTTGGATAACTTTACAGCAGCACCCCACTTTACCAGTACCAATTTACTGTATTCATCTGTTTTCATGCTGCTCATAAAGGCATACCAAAGACTGTGTAATTTATAAAGAAAAAGAGGTTTAATGGACTCACAGTTCCATAAGGCTGGGGAGGCCTTACTTATGGTGGGAGGCTAAAGGCACATATTACACAGCAGCAGGCAAGACAGAATGAAAGCCAAGTGAAAAAGGAAATCGCTTATAAAACAATCGGATCTTGTGAGGCTTATTTACTACCACAAAAACAGTATGGGGAAAACTGCTCCCATGATTCAATTGTCTCCTACTGGGTCCCTCTGATAACACGTGGGAATTATGGGAGCTACAATTCAACATGAGATTTGGGTGGGGACACAGCCAAAGCGTATCAGACCTGAAGAGATACATTTCTAAAAGACATACGATTGACAATAGGTATATACTAAGAAAAAGATGTTTGCCATTACTAATCATCAGGAAAATGCACAATGAGATATCACCTCACATCTATTAGGATGGCTATTGTAACAGTAAAAAGGTAACAAATGTTGCTGAGGATATTGAGAAAAAGAAACCCTTGTGCTTAGTTGATAGTTGATGGGAATGTAAATTGGTACAGCCATTAGAGACAACAGTATGGACTTTCCTCAAAAAATTAAAAATGGAACTCCCATATAATCCAGCAATCCCCATCTAGGTATATATCCAAAGTAAAGAAAATCACTATCTCAAAGAGATATGTATACTTACATGTTCATTGCAGTGTTATGTACACAGCCAAGATATGGAAACTACCTGTGTCCATTGACAGATGGATGTTTTAAATGTATTACACACACACACACACACACACAAGGAATATCATTTAGCCTTTAAAAATGAGGAAATACTGCCATTTGTAACAAAATGGACAAACCTGGAGTTTATTATGGTAAGTAAAATAAGCCAGGAACACACACACACAAATATCCTGCATGATTTCACTTATATGCATACTAAGAAAATGTCAAACTCATGGTAACAGAGTAAAATAGTGCTTACCAGGGCCTGGGAGTTGGGGGAAAAGAAAAAATGTTTGTCAGAAAGTACAAACTTTCAGTTATAAGATGAATAAGTTCTGGAGATCTAATGTACAGCATAGTGACTAAAGTCAATAATAATGTATACTTGAAATTTGCTGAAAGAGTAGATCTCAAGTGTTCTCCACCACACAAACACAAATAAAAAGGTAACCAGGTGAGGTGATGAATATGTTAGCTTGATTGTGGTAATCATCACTTCACAATGTATATGTATATCAAAATAACACACTGCACACCTTAACTATATACAATTTTTCTGTTAATCAATAGAACTGGCAAAAATATGTTATATGTTGCCTTGACTCCATTTCTTCTTATTTTGTCAAAATAGATAGTCCTCATTGTTTGCATGTTTAGAAACTTGTGCTACATCTAGAAGCCAGGAGTGGGGTAGGGTGAACTAAGTTACTGATTCTTTAGGAACCTTAGGGTGTGAGGTGGGACTGGAGTTCAAGGCCTAGGAGCTGAGTCTGGTCTTGATCACCCTCTTTTTTTGTTTTGTTTTGTTTTGTTCTGTTTTGAGACGGGGTCTCACTTTGTTGCCCAGGCTGGAGTGCAGAGGCACGATCTGGGCTCACTGCAACCTCTGCCTCCCAGGCTCAAGCAATCCTCTCACCTCAGCCTCCCAAGTAATGGGAACCACAGCCATGTGCCACTATGCCTAGCTAATTTTGTTGTATTTTTGGCAGAGATGGGGTTTCGCCTTGCTGCCCAGGCTGGTCCTGAACTCCTGAGCTCAGGTGATCCACCCACCTCGGCCTCCCATAGTGCTGGGATTACAGGTACGAGCCACCACGCCTTGCCATGAGCAGCCTCTTCTGATATCCGTGGTGTGTTCTGTACACTTTTTTTTTGTCTGAATGCACCTTTCCTTTCTCCTCCCTTGCACTCCAGAACCGTGGATACTCAAGTCTATCCTGAACCATATAGAGGGGGAGCTTTGAGTGCTATATGAAATTCATTTATGATATCATTCTTCATTCCTTCACAGAAGTAACTCAGAGTTCAATTAGGGATTCACATGGTAAATTTGTCTTAATGCTCCAAGTGGGCTTAAAGGAACTTCCTTCTTGTCGGCCATCATGTTTGTATACAACTGTAATGGGAATTTGAGTTTGTATGACTAGTGTCATGAGCACTCATGTTTGTGAGCACACCTCTGCATCTGCTATTTCTTCTATTGGCCTACAGACTTTTCCTTCTTTAGGATATTATCAACTTGAATTCAAATTTTTATCAAAAATTGGACCTAGCTCTTTTTATTCATATTTTCCTGCTACATTTTTTCCACTAATTTATTTTCGATAGGTTATATTGTGTTTTTTGACACTTAAAAATTTTACCTGACAATCTTAACCTTTGATTTATGTAATTATTGTTCCATTATGACTTCTTTCTGTCATCTCATTTATGATTTTTCATACTTTACTGTGTCTTTTTTCCTATTTGTACCTCTCACTCTATAGATCAAAAATTTTTCATTTGTTTGAAATCTGGAAATTTTTAACATTGTAATGGTGGTTATGTCATTACTTTTGTTAATTTTCTCAATTTCCTCCATGTGTCAAAATTAATATCATCTCAGCAAACCAAATAAGTACTCTAGCCTCCTCTTGCCACCTCTGGTTTGCTTTCTCTGTTACGACAGCACTTTGTCTAAGGTGGTACTTTCTGAAGTTTACTCGGAGTTGTTTTCAATATGTTATGTTTTCATGTATGTTTTAGGGTATGATAAACACCACTACCATTGATTCTGGAACCCTCAATTCTAACACCACGGTGTATTTCTCTTCTTAGTGGAGTATGTCCTCTAGGCATTTTCAAAGGGATTTATTTGAAATAAAACTTTTGAGGCCTTACTTTATAATGTCTTTTTCTGTGCTTTCATATTTAAAAGATTTTGGCTGCAAATAATTCAAGGATTAAAAATTGTTTCCTTTTAATCCTTGAAAAATATTACTTCATTTTATTCTTGTCTCCAGCATTGCTGTTGGAAAGGCTGATGCCAATCAAAACCAATTTTTCCCTAAAGGATGATCTGTCTTCTCATCATTTTGACAGGATGTAACAAAACAAAGGAGTCTTCAATGTTGTGAGTATAAATCATTTTGCAATTATAAACTTAACTTAAATATTAATGCAATACAAAAAGAATTAAAACCTTCTTGAGACATGCAAGTGCACAGGAAAATTAACTATCATGCACTCATTCAGGAAGAAAAGGTGCAAAAGAAATTTAATGAAAGAGACGGTCGTTAGATGCAAGTGTGGTTGAATGTAGGGATGCGATGCTGACAAGTGGCAGCAGGCCTGGCAAGCTGTCTATCCCAATTCAACTACTTCAGAAAGAGAAGAATATTAACTAGGCTATCTTGGTGATGTGTTGAAAAAAGGTGCTATGTTTCCTTTTTAATCATTCAAAACAAAGGTAGTAAAATTCCTGGGAAATAAGAAATAATGCATCATAAATGTATAAAAATAGAAGAAAATACTATATTTTTATGAATTTAAAATGCCAGCTATTGTAGATTGTTATCTCTTTTCAGAAGTGCTTTAAAATTGATGGCACATAGTAAAAAAATGGCATAAATTCCAACAATTAATGGAAAAACATTAATCCATCTTCTTGAATCTTGGAACCAGGATTCTTTTGGGAGGCTTCGGTGTATCTGTGTATCATTTCATTGCCTTCACACAAATCAAATCATGCCACCTGCGACTGTGGTTTGAAAAAAAAAGAAAACATAATAATGATGCTGTCAATTCACCTGAGATTCCATGATCAAAATTAACCTATGAACAAAGCACAGACTTTATTATAATTACAAAATAGGATGTAATTTACATAAAATGTGAAAATATAAGTATAGAACCATATTTGATACAAGTCGAAAGCTATGACAGGGACTGTTGGAGGGGAGGGAAGTTGTACACTAATCTCCACATCCTACTGAGCCAATCAGTGGTGTTCAAATTGGATGGACTGTATATTTAAACAATATATTATTTAAGCAAAGAATTAAGCACTGTAAGTATATTATTTAGAGGAAGCAAATTTTTAAAAATCCCTTAAAATTATATATTAAAGACTAAATTGGAAATATAGTTTTAGAAGAAGAAAGTGGGGTAAATGGGCTAGGTGCAGTGGCTCACGCCTGTAATCCCAGCACTTTGGGAGGCCAAGGCGGGCGGATCACGAGGTCAGGAGACCAAGACCATCCTGGCTAACACGGTGAAACCCTGTCTCTACTAAAAATACAAAAAATTAGCCGGGCGTGGTGGCTGGCGCCTGTAGTCCCAGCTATTCAGGAGGCTGGCGGAGGAGAATGGCGTGAACCCGGGAGGCGGAGCTTGCAGTGAGCCGAGATAGCGCCACTGCACTCCAGCCTGGGTGAGGGAGTGAGACTCCGTCTCAAAAAAAAAAAAAAAAAAAAGAAAAAAGAAAAAAGAAAAGAAAGTAGGGTAAATGAGCTATATTCTCTATCGTTCATAAAAAGTCAAGGGATATTACTTAAAACTGATAAAACAAATTAGGTGATTATATAATATTATTTACAGTTCAAGAGAATAGCATATAGTAAAAAAAAGAGTATGATAAAACCTGCCTAACTCTGAAAAACAGGACCAAGGTCTGTGGAAGGAAAAAAAAAGTTTCTGGTTTCCACTGATTTTTTTGCCATCAAACTGTTTGAATGATTTTCCATGCACATGTGTTGCTTTAATTTAAAAATGTTCTTACTCACAGATCCCCTTGAATTACGTGTAAAATTAGGTTTCCTTTAGTCAATGGTGTATGAAAAGTAATCAACTCATCTAACTGAAGTTAGACATTAATAAATTATAATTTGGGGGATAACATAAATATACCTATTAAAAACAACCAGAACATAACAGTTGGCTCTATGTTCTGCTTATCTAGGAATTTTTAAAATTATAAAAAAAAAAAGGAGTTTCACATTTTTAAAGAAACATTAGGAATAAAAATGTAAGTGTTTCTCTTGGATAAAGCTCTTAAAATCACTAGTAGAATAAAGTCAATCTAGATTAAAATTTATATTTTCAAATTTATAATATGACCAATATTGCCATCAAAATGTTCCGGCACAGAACATTTTAAAGTAGCTATTTTATTGTTTCTCAACATCCTCTTTCCTTCTATGATTGGCATCACAAATCATGATTGGGACATCTTATCAAAGAACTATACTTGTAGTTTTTGAGTGAAAAGCAAGGGAGAAATTTTATTTGTGCCTTGACCTTATTGATAATGTGTAACTTGTGATGGCCACTATCAATAGAACTATCAACAGATTCGAAGGGCACTGTTTGTTCCTTTAATATGGAGAAATATCGCAAATAACTGGGAAATAATTTAATGACTGAAGCCTTCATTTTTAATCATATAGCTGAGTGATATTTTAAGTTTGATGAGAATAAACATTTGAACAAAAATAGCCAATTCCCTGTTTCATAATTTAATACATTTGTGTTAAAAGGTTTAGATGATAAAGTTAATTTTGAAATGCATTATAAATAACTAAGTAGCAATCATTAAGTTCATTTTTAAATAACTGTTTAGATAACTTAGTAATTAGCAATCATTAAGTTCATTTTTAACTAACTGTTTAGTCCACAAAAGATAAAAAATATATTTTAGAAGGAGAGGGCATTCCAAAATCTGTCTCAGGGACATTTAATGTCAAATATCTTTCAATGAAGCAGAAATGTAAATACATGTTTAGATAATTTAGGTTAAAAAAGGTAAATTTTGGTTGCCTGCTTAACTTTTATGAAACAGATATTTTCATTCAAGTCCAGCATATATTTTGCTATGACTTCCACATCCTTTCCTCAGAGAATATTTACCTAAACATTAGGGTACCAAAGGAACTAGGAAACAAAAACTTCTTATTAGAGAGAGAAATTTTTAAGTGAGGCACACATTCTAATGATAGTAATTTGTTTTTGACATTTTATTAATATTTTGATAACACTAATAAAATCCAAAGGGGCAAGCAGGTATTACTGTCTCAGGGTGGACCCTCTTTTGTCATCCTCTGTAAGATCGCAGTCATCAAAGAGCGTGACCCAAGAAGAAAGTAAAACAGTGGAACAAATGAGCATTTCTCTAAATACAAACAGTAGAGTCCTTGAGAAAGAATCCTTTAAGGCCTTAGATTTCTTTAAACATTTTTAGATAAATAGTCTGGCCTATGCAGAACAAAATGAAATGGTGATAATGAACAGGATAGTGAAGTTTTGTACTGACATAAATGGCGAGTTGATTAATGCTTAGGATAGTGTGAAAGAAGAACTGAATGAAAAATGCAAATCGAAAGAAGAAATACCCAGACAGACCCTTTCCTAAAACATGCATCATAAAATATTTAAAAGCATCTGCTTTAATGCATGGGCTGAGTCAAAGTAAGGCAAATTTTCAGATATCTAGAAGAGCAAAAAAAGTCTGAATCCAGAGGTGTGAGTGTCTCATCTGGCATTTGCCCTGCGGTGTCTCCCAGGACCTACTGGCCCAGACCCATGAGCACCTAATTCAGGAAACAGAGACTGATGCCCATGCAGGGAGGAATATAGGCTAAAATGCCTCCTGCATAAATCTAGGATTTCTAAAAAGAAGCACGTTAAGTGCCTGGGCTAGGAAAATCCCACCCCCATAAGAAAGTGAAAATATGTGCTTGTCTTGGTCCCAATAGGGTAGACAAAAAAATGAAAAATAAAAAACGTATGATAATTTCTAAATACAAAACAATAGCCATATTGGTTTGGGTTTGAATTCACACTATCTATGGGCCTGAGAAATACCAGGGTGGAAATTAGCCTCTGGTAGCAAGAGCTGAGGCCAGCCAGACTTCCTGGGTCGAGTGGGGACTTGGGGAAATTTCCTGTCTTACCAGAGGATAGTAAAATGCACCAATCAGGAACTTACCTGTCTCACGAGTTCTGTGAAATGTACCAATCAGCGCTCTGTAAAACGCACCAATCCATGCTCTGTAAAACACACCAATCAGCGCTCTGTAAAACACACCAATCAGCAAGCTCTGTAAAAACGCATCAATCGGCAGGATTCTAAAAGTAGTCAATCACAGGGAGGATTGAAAAAAGGGCACTCTGATAGGATAGAAACGTGACAAATAAGGGAATAAAACCTGGCCACCCCCCCACCCCCACCCCAGCAGCAGCAACCTGCGTGGGTGCTCTTCCCCGTTGTGGAAGCTTTGTTCTTTAGCTCTTCCCAATAAACCTTGCTACTGCTCACTCTTCGGGTCCTTGCCATCTTTAAGAGCGGTAACACTCACCGTGAAGGTCGGCAGCTTCATTCTTCAAGTCAGCAACACCACGAACCCACCAGAAGGAATCAACTCTGGACACAGCAGTCCTGAGAGCTAATTAATCTGAGTAGAATCATAAAGATAAATATATTTTTCACACATACTTGGAAACATATTTTGTAACACAGCTTTTATTGTGGTTAAGTGAAGATAGTAAATTTTACAATAAGCAACACTGGGACCACTGGTCTCCATAAGGGGGAAAAAAGGAAATTGAAACTTAATCCCATAGACCAAACCTAAAAATATATTTTAATGGATAAAGATACCTTCTCAACATTCTTAGAAAAAAACTGTGGAGCATCTCTTTTATCTTTACATAGGGAAGAAGAACAAACGGCAAGAGTAAAAACTAACTTGATCACATAAAAATTTAAGACTTCTGTTTATTGGATACCGCAATGAGAAAAAAATATGCAAAACTTGGCAGAGATATTTGCAACACATGTTACCTAGACAGGTTTAGTATCCAGAATATATAAAGCTCTCCTATAAATTAATAAGTGAAAAATAACACCTCAAGAAGTTAGCATAAATAGCCCATAAGCATGTGAAAAAGTGCTCAACCTAATAATAATCATGAAAATGAAAATTAACAATTAGATACCCTTTCACACATATTGACAAAATTTTTTGGAAGTTCTGAAAGGTGTAGTATTGGCAAGGATAAAGAACCGTGGAAGCATTCATCCCATGCAAGTAGAAGGACAGCCATTTGGAAAACGGATGTTAGCTCATACAGCTGATCATGCATGTACCCTATGACCCAGTGGCTTCACTACAACCTAGTGCAATCTAGTCAGCCTGTTACAGGCCCCAGAAAAATTCTTGCATTTGTTTACCTAGGGATATATGAGAATGTTCACAATTTTAAAAACCTGGAAACAATCCAGTTATCTCTCAATATGGGTAGATTGTGGAATAGGTAACTAAATGATCATATATTCCAATAATAGAGTACCTCGCAGCACTAAGAGTGAATGAATTGCAGCTACTCACATTCTCAAACACAGCACTGCAATGAGATACTACTGCATGCATATTAGAATGGCAAAAATCCAGAACTCTGACAACACCAAATGCTGATGAGGATGTGAAGCAACAGGAACTCTCATTCAGTGCTGATGGAAATACAAAATGGAGAATAGTTTTGTGGCATCTTAGAAAACTAAATCTACTCTTATTATACGACCCTGCAATCTTGTTTTTTGGTATATACCCAAAGGAGTTGAAAACTTATGTCCACACAGAAACCTGCACACAGATGTTTATGGACGTTTTATTTATAATTGCAAAAATTTGGAGACAAGCAAGATTACCTTCAGTAGGTGAATAATTAAACAAACTGTATTACATCCAGACAACTGAATACCATTCAATGATAAAATAAATGGCTGTCAAGCCATGAAAAGACACAGTGGAAGCTTACATGCATATTGCAGAATGAAAGAAGCCAATCTAAAAAGGCTACATATGTCACTTCCAACTTTATGACCTTCTGGAAAAGGTAATACTATAGAAATAGAAAAAAAAATCAGTGGTTCCCAGGAGTTAGGAGGAAGAGAGGGATGAATAACCAGAGCACAGAGGATGCTTAAGGCAGTGAAAGTACGTGTATGATATTTTAATAGTGAATACTTGTCATTGTAAATTTGTCCAAGCCCAAGTGTGAACCTTAATGCAAACTATAAGATGTATCATGTAGGTTCTTTAATTGTAACAAATGCACCACTCTGGTGGGGGATGTTTATTATGGGGGAGGCTATGCATGTGTGGGGGACAGGGAGTATATGGGAAATCTATACCTGCTGCTCAGTTTTGCTGTGAACTTTGAACTGCTCTTAAAAATAATGTGTGTATGTGTGTATATATACATACATATACATGTTTGTGTGTATGCATATCTGATCATAAGAAACAATACATAGTTTCACTTATTTAAAAAGTCAAATGTGCAAAACTAAACAATATACAAGTCTGTAATGACAAGCAATGGAATGATTAACAGGAAGTTAGGGATAGTGGTTACCTCTTGTGGAAGGAGTGAGTGGCATTGTAGAAGGGCAATGGGAGTTTCTAAGATACTGGAAATATTCTATTTCATAACCTGAAGGAAGGACACATATGCTCATTTTATATTCTTCTTAAGCTGTACATACACACTTTTATATTTATGATCTATTTCATTAAGTAATAAGACAATTAAATATATGCATTTGTAAATAAGTGAGATTAACAAATTTTTGGATACATTTAACTTATTAAAGTTGACTCAAATAATTAGAAAATCTGGATGGAAATCATACCATTAAAGTAATTGAGTTGATAATTAATAATTCTACAAAGAAAACAGGATGCCCAGATGATGTCACAAGTAGTTCCAATGTTACACTAATTATTTGCGAGGGGAGAAAAAAGAGGCCATTCTTCAATTCATTTGAGACTAGGGTAACCTTGCTATTGTGTACCTCATCCATGCACACAGAGACAAATATTGTAAACAAAATACTAGGAAGTATACCTAGCAAAGTATAAAAACCATGAACAAGCTCGGTTAGTAATACAAATTTAGTCCAATGTTAGAAAATCTACTGAAATCATCTCCTTATCAATGAATTAAAGACAAAAGTTATATGATTGTCTCAAAAGGCCTATAAAATTATTTTACAAAAATTAAATAATTCATGATATTTCCACCTATGAATAAAGGGTAATTTCCTTAACCTGATAAAAGGAGTCAACAAATAACCTACAGCACCTATCATGTTTTGTGATTAAAAATATCGAAATCACTCCTTTTAAAATCAAGAAAAAGACAAGAGTACCATTGTCACTAAACTGCTTCCAAAGCTTATACGGAAGATAAAAGGGCCCAGTATAACTAAGACAATCCCATAGAAGACTAAAGTGTGTGAAGGTGGGAGGTGGAGCTTATGTGAGTCTATCACGTACCAGATTTACTGTGAAGTTATAATTACCACAGCAGGAATTGCTATTGTGAAAGTGTATGCTTGTGTGAAATCTTGATGTATGCCCTGGCTAACATTACAGAACAGTCAGAAAGGGTCTATATAATCCATGGTATGAGCAGTTGGTATCCATATGGGAAAATATCAGAATGGATCTCTATCCCAAAAATGGATCGCTATCACACAAAGGCCAGATCTAAATGGACAAAGGACTTAAATTTGAGATGCAAATATTTAAAAATCTTTTAGAAGAAAATATAGGAGGGTAACTTATTACATGCCACACCTACTATGTGTACTTTGTACGATGCAAGTGTTGTATACGAGTGTAGTATGTTAAGTGTAGATGCCTCTAAGCAGTATATGCATGCTTGCTACTTTACACACGTGAAACACTGGGAATGGGAGCATGAGAGGAAACCCTAGGTCATTCTGGTCTCCAGACTGCTGCTCCTGCCCACCCCCGGTTCCAGCACTCCCTTCCCCATTCTCCTATACAGATCCTCTGTTCCCGGCACAGCCACTTACAGCAGCTCAAGCCAGCGGCACCCACGGAGAGGCCCTCTTCACCCTACTGCTGGGCTGTCATGTCCCCTTTCTTTTCTTTCTGAAAAACAGTTTTCTCTGCCTGTGACTCCTCATGTTTCACTCTCTCTAAAGCACACGGAAGCCCGGTTCCCTCCTCTGCTTTATCAGACCTGTTGCTGTGAGTTCCACTAGTGACCCTGCATGACAAATTCGGAGGTTTGCTCCCTTTTGCATAGCGTAAAATGTTTACCTCGTGACCTACTTGATAAATACAATTTTATAATTGTTAAGCTATCTATATATTCTGTATCTGTTTTAAAAATTATGTATAGGCCAGGCAAGGTGGTTCACGCCTGTAATCCCAGCAGTTTGAGAGGCCGAGGCAGGAGGATCATGAATTCAGGAGATTGAAACCATCCTCGACAACATGGTGAAACTCCGTCTCTACTAAAAATACAAAAATTAGCTGGGCATGGCAGCAGGCACCTGTAATCCCAGCTACTCAGGAGGCTGCGGCAGGAGAATTGCTTGAACCAAGGAGGTGGAGATTGCAGTGAGCCAAGATTGTGCCACTGCACTCCAGCCTGGCGACAGAGTGAGACTCCGTACTCACACACCCCCCCAAAAATATAAAGACAATGTCAGTTATGCCACACATAGATTGTTTTTATTCCATAAAACTGCTCTCCATATGTGTAATATGTTTCTACTTCACACATAGTTTTGATCAAAGATTAATCTATTGCATACTTTTCTTAGTAATTAATAAAACTCAGCTTGGATTTCTCTAGCCAGATAAAACACCTTATACTAAATGAATCAATCAAAGCTCTTTGTTGGAGTGAGATCTGAAAGCTTTCGCTCAAGCTGGCTGCCTCAGCTTCACAGCATCAAATAATGGAGGGAGAAGTGGAGGCTGACATGCAGCAAGAATGACTGTGTGTGTGTTGGAGAGATATTTTGTTTAATTCATTTACAAGATACTCATGCCACACTGCTACGTGCCAAACAGCTGTTCTTGCTACTTGGTAAAAATTAATCATCTAATAGTTGAAAAGTTAATTGTTGTAATGTGACTTCAGTATGGCCACTCTCCGGGATTGGGAGCCAAAAAAAAAAAAAGCATCACCATCATGATTGAGAAATGGAGTTACTGGCAGTAGTGGAGCAAACCACGATTCTGCACTTGGACACAGAATTATTCCTGACAAGATCCTGGCTCTTAACTCTTCCACCAAAACTGAGTCTGCAGCTCCCACACTGAAATGCTGCTCATTTCACCCCAAGTGTGTTCCAGCCGTTCCTTCTTCTTCTCCTTCCTACCAGCTCTGTAATGTCTCCATCACAATGCTAAGGTCAGGGTCAATGGCACCTCTTTTTAGAAACTTTCTGAGAGCCCTGGAAAGTAATCTCTTCTTGTTCTTATTCCATGATCTCCTGTACGTTCTTTTTCTTTTTTTTTTGAGACGGAGTCTCGCTCTGCTGTACCTTCTTTAAATCACTGATGATCATTTGTGTAGATGAGTTGTCTCCGTGTGTGTCTGACCTTTCTCCCAGTTGGTGAGTTTTGGAATCCAGGAAGCATTTTAGTAAAGTAATAGTTTTTAGTAATTTAGTTCACCTCTGTGCACCCTACAGCCGTTTCTCACATGTTGGGGCTGCCCAGTGAGCACTTGCTGAGGGAAACTGCAGGGAGACTTGCAGGTCAGGTTCACTGAGCCAGAAAGTGAAGCAAACTGAGAGGGCAAAGTGCATGAAACTGGCTGAAATATACGAACACACTGGGGAAACAAACATCTCCGGCCTCTGTGGAGGCGGAACACAGTTGCTGAGGTCTGTGATTCAGCAGCACCCACCTGGCAAAGCATGCCCAGCATCGGGCTTCGTTCTCCCATAGTGCTTTCATGGCGAGGAAGAAAAGCTATACATACTAACATGGGCCAGCTGGAAACCACAACTATATAGTATTGCTTTTCAGCTTTTCAGCTGGAATTCCGAAAGAACTCTGAGGTCATGTAGAATGCGGCATACTGTTAGATGGGGCCTGGGTGGGCTTGGTGTTAGAGGACCTGCCCCAGGTCATGGTCTGTGGTGCGGAGGGAGGGTGTGATTTCCCATCCCCTTCTTATCTCTTTGTCCCATCTTTTTTGCCCTGTACACACATGATCGTCCTCAATATCTTAAGTAGGATCTCCCATATAGCTAAAATTGATATTGGCATCTAAAGTATACCTAACTTAGCTGAATATTTGGCCTTTGCCTTTAAAGGATCTGTAAGTTATTGGGATGAGACCAAGGAGAAAAAGGAAGACCATAGATAAGCATAATCTGCCATCCAATAATTTCATGACATGCTTATCCTTGGAATAAAGTTGACCTGTTATCAGGAAACTGTCCCACCATTTTTTTTGCATGTAGAGACCTCCATTGCTATGGCCTCCATTGTAATGGGCTGTCATTGGGTTTGAAAAAAGTCTACATGTTGATTTTCATGGCAATAAAAGAGTCAGAGGTGCAAGCTGGAACAAGGTGCTCGCCAAAGCTAGGCCTTTCCCCTCCCTCAGGAACTGGCAACAAGAGCAAGAGTTAGCTTCCTGAATGTTTGCATTTCAAAGAGAGAACTCTCAGGTCTTTGAGGAGACAATTCTGGGATGTAGATTTACACTTCAAAGGTGGAGAAAAATTTATAATTGCAAGCTTTCTAAGGTTCTAAGAGGGGATTCGGGGCTCTACCTGCCCATCACCAGGTTTTGCCTGAAACAAACAGTAAATTTTCTTTGCAAGTGAGCTTTTTCAGGCAGTCATTTTAAGAGGGCTGGGGTCATCCGCGGGACACCCTTGTGCTGCCGGAAGCCTCACTAGCGTTTGGTCCTCTCTTTGGACAGGGGTTTGGAAGTAGTTAAGTACTGCGAGGCCTGCATTCTCATGACCAAAGCTCACAAATGCCCATTTCTTTATTTCTTTCATTTTAATCTTTGAAATATTTATGTGTCTCTTAACACCTCTTGGAAATTTCCATCCCTTTCGAGCTATGTTCCAGTCAAACCAAACAAAGCGTGGCCCAGCAGCCCTGGGGAGTCTCTGGGTGAAGGGGAGATGAGCACACAAATGTTGAGAGTTTGAGAACCCCTGGCCTTGATTTTTATAATAGTTGGTCAAGTGGTCATCAGTGAAATCCACAGGGATTCCCTGAGAGTGTATAGCTTTGGCATGATGGTTGCTGTAATCTGAAGGGGAAAGTAGAAGTTTACATGTGAGTACTGAAGAAGCTTGAGACAGAGTCTCGCTCTGTCACCCAGGCTGGATGAAGTGGGGCCATCTGGGCTCACTGCAACCTCCGCAATTCTCCTGCCTCAGCCTCCCCAGTAGCTGGGATTACAGGCTCCTGCCACCACGTCCAGCTAATTATTTTTTTCTTTAAAATTAGTTTTTATTTAAAAAGTACAAATAGCACTTTACTTTTACTTTTGCAAAAAGTAAAGAAATGGTGTTTTGTTACAAAAATTAAACAAATAAATTTTGGATTGTAGAAAATTCATTAAAAACTCAAGTTTTAATTCAGTTAAAATCCATCTAGTGCTGTAAGTGTGGCTGTTGGCAGATGTCTTATTTATTTTTCATATATTAATTTATATTATTAATAACTAATTTTTTATTTATTATTCGTGAGCCCTTTCCCATGACAACTTCTTGGAAATTTCTTTCTCTCCCACTGACCCAGTATTATCTCTCAGGCATTCTTATTTAAAGTTTTTCCTCTCATTATTCCCTTCTTCACCATCATTCCCAGGTTGGTTACAAAGAACTAATTTAATGACCCATTTACTCTGAAGGGAGGCGCAAGAAGTGAAGCTTCTTTCTGAGGCCTTAAGGGATCTCACCTCCTTAAATCTCTGTTTTCCTACCCCTACTTCAGATATTATTGAGACATTATGTTTTCTTCCTCTACCTTCAGAAACTTCAGTATCAACAGGTCCAGATCTGCCTAAGCCCTCAGATGAGTCTGCAAACAATCATTGTGTCAACATTTGACTCATGCCTTGCAGATGATCCCAGGCACCACTGTCTTAACCTGTGAAAACCATAAATTCTTGGCACAAACAACTTCTTCTGCACATCCCTCCTCCTCATACATACACTAAGAGACTTGGCCAAATTCCAACACAGTGTCTATCAGCTCCGAGCCACGTCCCTACGATGCCCCATACCCCTCTAAAGCACCTGCCTGGGAACATTCAATTCTGCCAAAAGAATTTACTGTTTGTCCCACCCAAAACTTGACTATAGGTCCCTGACCTCCCATTTCTAAGAGGTTTAACTTTAGAAAACCTGCAATGGCCAGGCGTGGTGGCTCACACCTGTTATCCCAGCACTTTTGGAGGCCGAGGAGGGCAGATCACGAGGTCAAGAGATCGAGAACATTTTGGCCAACATGGTGAAACCCTGTCTCTACTAAAAAGAGAAAAATTAGCTGGGCGTCATGGCACACACACGCAATCCCAGCTACTCAGCAAGCTGAGGCAGGAGAATCTCTTGAACCTGGGAGGCGGAGGTTGCAGTGAGCCGAGATTGTGCTCAGAGTGAGATTCTGTCTGGAAAAAAAAAAAAAAAAAAGACAGATAACCTGCAGTTATAAACCCTTTCTCTGCCCCTTTAAATCTCCTACAACATGGAAATGTCTTTCTGAAAGACTTGGGAGCCATCCCTTTGGACTATAAGGATCAAGAAGGATACAGGATTGTCTCCTGGTCTCTGTCTCTGCGTAGGAACCTAATTTTGATAAGCACTATTAGCAAACACAGATGGCCTCATCACATTGACCAACCTTTCCCCAAACATCAGTCCATGCTTTTCCTTTAGCACACTCCAACATTTGCAGAGCCTCTTGCTTTTTGTTTCAGTGAAGTTGAGGCTTTCTAACATACTATAAATTGATATGTCTACTTATTGATTAGAAGACAGAAATTAATCACTGGATTTCATTATCACGCTGACTTTTAGGATTACAAGCAGCCTGTGGTTACAGATGCAACATCTTTACATTTCTAAGAAAAACAGGAGAGATTTGTCTTTGGCTCCTTTGGACCTCACTGATTAATGGAAAAGAGAGGATTGAGTAGGTTTGGATGATACAGCACAACTCAGTTTAAAGTTCCAGGCAAAGAAAGCAACGGTTATTTTTCACTCCAGAGAGTGAATCATTCTTTGGGGCCACAAAAGAGAAGATTTGAAGAATAAGCAGGGACATCTAGAAGGTGGCTGAGTGTACTCCATCGGGTTAAATTAAGCTATTTTGTTGTTGTTCAAATAGCTTCCCCACATGGTACATTTCATATCTAAAGTGTTATTCCCTCTCCCATCATTTTATTACGTACGCAATATCTGGCTGAGAACCTCTTTCTTGCCCTCCTTCTTACTGGTTAAGAACACAAACAGTCCTCTCTTTGCACAGCAGTGCAGGGCCATACAAATCACTATGCAAGCTGAAGATCTGTAAAGTGACCTAAACAATCCATGTGAAACATCGACTGTTCTGTGTCATTTAAAAATTTTGGCCAAAACATTAAAAATCTCTTACTGTTGGTTATAAATGTATAAGGAAATGAAACATAGTGAAGTTAGTACTTTTTTTTTTTTTGAGATGGAATCTTGCTCTGTCGCCCAGGCTGGAATGCAGTGGCGTGATCTCAGCTCACTGCAACCTCCACCTCCTGGGTTCAAGCTATTCTCCTGCCTCAGCGTCCCAAGTGGCTGGGACTATAGGCACGTGACACTACGCCTGGCTGATTTTTTGTATTTTTAGTAAAGGTGGGGTTTCACCGTGTTACCCAGGATCGTCTTGATCTCCTGACCTCATGATCTGTCCACCTTGGCCTTGCAAAGTGCTGGGATTACAGGAGTGAGCCATCACGCCTGGCCAGTACTTAGTTTATACACTGTAATTTAAAACATTAAACAACAGCCAATTAAAGTGCTTTATTTATTTATAGACGTGTATCAAGCCCAGTTTGAAAAGTGCTTGCCTCCCTCTTGTCGTATAGCTTATGATAAGGAGCCAGCAGTGTTTCTATGCCTTGGTGAACTGTCGTGCTGTTTTCGGAACAGCATCTAACATTGTCAACGTCATGCAATATCTACAAGAGTTCCTTTAATATGAAGTTTGTTGCTGTCTTTGCCGGCATCACTTCCTCTGGGGCTTCTTCATCCTTTTAATCACAGCTGCGTTCCTCATTTATGTCAGAACACTGCGTTGCGCCGAGTTCCTCTTGCCGCGTTTCCTGTGGTGAGCCAATTCTATGATTCCATTTACATTGTATTTGAATCCACTTCCAGGGTTATCACATTTTTTATTTCTTTGCTGCACATCAATGGTTGTTGACAAGTTTTTTCTTCTGATTATTCATATTTATAAATGTCACATGGGTTTCTCACTGGGAGACAAGGAATCAACACGATTGCAGACTTTGCTGTCTGTGTGCGAACTAGCTGATGCACATTGATCAGTCACTGGCAGGCTTTGAAGGAAGTGAATTGTGTTCCCCAAAAAAGATATGTTTGAAATCCTAATCCCCAATATCTCCAAATAATATCAGCTTATTTGGAAATAGCACATTTACAGAGGTTCTCAAGTTAAAATGAGGTCATTAGGGTGGGTCCTAATCCAATAGACTAACTGGTGTCTTATAGTGAAGGAGAATTTGGATACAGCTCCAGACACACACACAAAAAAGACGATGTGAAGACACACTGAGAAAATGCAGTGACATATCTGTAGGTCAAACAACACCAAGGATGGCTGGCAAACCCAAACAGGAAGGAGAGGGGAAGAAGGATTCTCCCCTAGAGCCAGCAGAGAGCATGAACCTACCAACACATTGATTTTTGACTTCTAGCCTCCACAACTACGAGTCAATACATTTCTGTTGTTTTAAGCAACCCGGTTTTTTGTACTTTGTTGCAGCATCCCCACAAGATTAATACAGTCCCTGATCATGATGCTTGTCTGTTATTTACTCACACAGGCATTTGTGGAATTAAGAGCTGGGAATGAAGTTTGGATTTTATGCAGTTGCTCACAGTTAGCATATGGTGGTAACCGAAATTGTAACCAGGTTGTTGGGAGACTAGTGCTATTTAACTAAACTATGTTAATTAAACCTGTGCATATTCAAATGTGCAAAGCCAGGACTGTTTTTACTTAGTTCAGGTATTTAGAGGGAAAGAATGTTTGCCTCTTTTCAGGGCTTTGGAGCATGCCCTGTGCCAGCAGGCCCCTTCCACAGCTACTTAACATCTCTTCTCGTCTTACTAGCCACCTCTCAACTCAGATGACCAGCAAGGCCATCTTTGACTATCAGAATGAAGTAGCCCGTCTCCACTTTTGATTACATTCATTTGCTTTATTGTCTTTACAGCATTTTTATTTACTAAAATAATAGTCTTTCATTACTTGATTCTTACCTTGATTCAGTACTTCTAAAAAATGCAGATTACAATTCAAATGAGAAACCAAGTTGACTAACGTTAAAACGTTTGATACTATTAAGTATTGTTGAGAATATAGATCTACCAGAACCTTTAACTTCTCATGGGAGCATAAATTGGAAAACAGTTCATTTTAACGTAGTAAAACCAACAGTATACAAATCTTTTGACACAATTATTTGAATGTTGGGTTTATACCTTAGAGAAAATCTACCTTTTATGTCCAGGAGACTCATACAAGAAAAGGACATCTAGTTTTGTAATAGAAAAAAATGGATAACCCCAATCTAATAAAATGGAATGCTCATTATAGTATTATCCTGTGATGGAATACTCTAAATCAATGCACAGAAAGTACAGACAAACATATCATAAGAATGAATTTTACAAATTAAATATTGAACCAAAAAGCAATTTCAGAAAAATATATTCAGTGTGATTCCATTTGTTTAAACTGAAAAATATGTGAAACAATAATGCTCAATGTCCTTTACTAATGCATTTATTTTGGCAAAATTATAAAGATAAGAAATGGGACTCATTAACAGGACAGTGTTAAGGACTCTAAAAATACGGGTAGTTTTTTATTCTTAGGCAGGTAATGTGTACATCAGTGTTCATTTTATTATTTCTTACACTGTCTTCATGACTTACACATAATATTTTGCTAGTTTTAAAACATAAGATGTGATAATAATCTAAACAGACCAAAGGAAAAAAATGAATATGTTAAAAAAAAGACAGAGAATGAGCCCTGTCTGATAGAAAGCATAACAAAGCAAGTAGAAGAACTCTCACGAATGCTTGATCCAATAAAGCTAGGTTTGTGCTCCACAACACTTCAGCATTTTAATGTGATTTTTGATGTTTGCTTTTTGCAACGGTGATTCCCAGTTGCCTCCCTCCTATGTCTTTACAAGCTGAAATCAAGTGAAGCTACTTCTGACTTTTTCTAAAACTAAAACACAACATGAAGGTCTGCGTATTCTTTCACATGTGCACATATGTGGCACTTTTCCATGATGCAACAGCAGCGGGTCTCTAGCTAAGCTACAGCAGCAGCTCTAAGAGGCAGGGGACCCTGAAACGAGGCTGAAAAAAAGAATAGTCCATAACTGACATCAGGCAGGCTGCTGTTGTAAGCAAAGAAAGGAGGCTCACAGGGGCGTGGACTCAGGCCAGATCAGGCTATTGTGGGAGAACACGGAGCACATGTGTCAGCTGGAAAGGGGCCGGCTCAGGAGACAAAATAGGCACGAGAGGAAACCCAAAAATTGACATACATGACTATCCTTGTAGAAATGTATAAAGGTTTGGATTATTTTGCTTATCGAGTTATAATAAAGTTATTCTAAAAATGTTTATGTAAAGTATTATGTACATTTTTGTTACCTTATAAAGATTATTTATATTTGAGTTGTGTGGTTTTGGAATGACAGTATTTGTAAACTTGGTTTTGACATTCTCTACGATGCTTAATGAAGAAACTGACATTTAAAGCGATTCATTAATTCTCTTTGGTCAGTAGCTGAGCTGGGACAGAGTTCAGGTTTTCTGATTCTCAGCCTATGTTGTTTTCTCTTCATTTTAATGTGAACCTAAATATGTATAGGATCTAGACAAATATGACATGTAGTGCCTTATTTCTTGTTTTCTCTGTAATGAATGGCAGGTGAGATAACTTTATTTACAGAAGCCATCCAGTGGCTCAGGTTGCATCAGGTTGCCTTTGAATCATTTATTCAACGTCAGGATGGTAAAGTGAGGAGCTTCCCCAAACTGAAGCAGAGTGGCATCTGTCCCAGGTTGTAGAGTATTCCCTGCCATAAATAAAGACATGCTGGTTCTTGTTATTTATACAGGCACTGGGGTTCCCATTAGCTCTTACATTTCATATGCTTAGAGCAAGAAGCTAGAGAGTGACTTAGGATACAGTGTAAATATATTAGTAAATTAAGACAGTTCTGCAAGATTTTTAGGACTTCTATTTTTCTTCTATTCATCATTTATGAAGTATTCTTGCTAGAAATAGTTTATGTCTCTCTATCTTGCTGAGTGATGAATACTCGGCCAGGATGCTAAAATGTGGTTTCATGAAGTATGTTGTGTTTCTGTCTGTTCTTGTTTCCTTCCTTGAAATGTGTAAAAGTGAAAAACATACTAATCATAAATCAGGTATTCATCATAAGCCTAAAAAAAGATAAAATAATCAGTAGTATCATTGACTAAAATTATTACTCACCAAAAGAAACTCACTCCAAAGTTAGCGCAATACTAACAGAGAATACAAGTTTTGCCAGGAATCACTGAGGCTTAGTACCTCACATGGGAAACATGGGAAGTAAAACCACCTGAGGAGCCACTTGATGGTGAGTCAGGCTGTTCCTCAAAGAGTAGGCTGTGACTGCCAAACTTTGTAGGTTAAGGAGTATTTATAATGATCTTTGAGGAAACTGCAACTGACAATTGAGGGAAAAAATGTTAGTTCATGACTGCAAAATACATGACAGAGTCACAAAAACTATTTTACAAGTTTAAAAAAAAAACCTGATGCTGATGCAAGGTAGGCGAACCCCAAAGTGGTGCTTAGCCTGCAAGGGTTCTTGGCTTCACCCAGGAAAGGATTCAAGGGCGAGCCAGTGGTAAGGTGGAAGAAAACACCTTTATCAAAGCAGCACTGTTACAGCTCCTGCAGGGTCACAGCTCAGTGACTGCTCCCAGGGTTGCCCCATAGGCAGGGTGCCGAGAGTAGCAGCTGAGCCCAGTTTTGCTGTCATATGTATACCTGCTTTTAATTACATGTAGATTCAGGGGTGGTTTGTGCAGAAATTGCTAGGAAAAGGGTGGTAACTTTTGGGTCATCAGGTCATTGCTGCTGAAAGGGGTGGTAATGCCTGAGTGTTGCCATGGCAATGGTAAACTGACAGGGCACACTGGTGGGTGTGTCTTACAGAAAGCTGCTTCCACCCTGTCCTTGTTTAGCTAGCCCTCAATTTTTTGTTTGTAAATGAGCAAGAGAGTCATGGCCTTGGCGTTTTATCCCAGAAGTACAGTGGACCCCAGAGCACTCTAGACCCAAGGGCTAAACCAAATCACAGCATCCCACAGTTGTGTCCAGCCCTCCATCACTGATTGGCTGCAATCCAACAAGTGGCCCAGAGGGGAGGGTTCATTGAAAGCTCTTTGCTAAGTGACAGGTCTTTAAGAAGGAAAAGGCTCTTAAAGATTGGTATGGGATGGGGGAAGTGTTTGTGGTCACCACGGCACCCCAAGGCTGTGGCCTTCTCTGAGCACCATGAGACTCAGCCATGTCTTTCTCTCTGTTTTCCCACAAAACCAGCCAGTGCTGAAGCATATCCTCCTGGCCTACAAACAGTGGCCATGACTTCCAACTCATCCAGGCTACTTCTGATTTAGTGTTAGGCCGCCCACTTGATGTGTATGTTCCCATGCTGTGTTGACCCTATTACTTAATGAAAACACACAGCACTCGTTTGCTTCTCGACTTACTTCTCATGAAATATCACTATGCCTCCCCACCCAATCACAATCCTTTGCTGCCAAAAATCCCTTGCTACCCTGTACATTTTGTCCACTAAGGGAACCCCTCAGCACACACACACAATGGTGCTACTGAAACCAGATCACTGTCTCATTTAGGTTAGATATGTCAGAAACCCTTCTCTCCTAAGTCGACCTGATGCTCTATGTCAATCGCTCCTACTTCTGGAAGGAGGTTGGGACCTTCCAGCCTGGATATGCCATCACTCATCTACACAAAACTCTTGAATGCCAAGCTTTGCCACACGTTAAATCAGCCAAAGTGGCTAAATTAACTGTTCTCATTCAGGCTTATATAAGGCAGAGGGAATTAAGATTAGCACCTACAGTGACAGACACTGGGTCTTTGGTGTAGTGCATGATTTTGGTATGTTTTGAAAACAGAGAGGATTCATGACAGCAACTTGTCCCCAGTCAAAAGTAAACCCCAAATAGCAGAACTTCTAGAGTCATTGCTATTGCCCCAGCTAGTTGTTACAGTTAAAGCTGAGGGATATAGTATAAAATACTCAGATGAGGCTCAGGGAAATAAATTGGCTGATAAAGGTGCTAAGCTAGCATCCTCTTCCTTGGCCGCCTAAGAAATCCAGGAAGTCTCCAAACCTTGTGACTAGATACCTGGGCTTCATTTCAAATACCCACAGTCCTGCTAGGATTATTTACCCTCTTTAAATAAATTGACAGAAGCAATGTCTTTACAATGCCTCTAAAGGAAATGTAAAATTCACACAGCCCAGATAACAATTTCAGAGTCAGAAAGAATTGGATGAGAAAAAGGTGAATGTTTGATCCACTTAAGTGGACTTCAGAAATACCCAGATGGCCATTTGATAACTCCTAAGTCTGTCTCCCAAGTCATTGTGTACAATTTGCTCATCCAGATTTACCACAGAAAGGATAACATGTAGTATATATTAAACAAAACAATATGGCTTGGACTCTTTAGATTTTATTTGGACCAAGCTGTTGCCATTTGCTGCATCTACCAACAACATAATCCTCCAAAAAGCATAAAGGTGGGGCAAAAAAGGGAAGTGGCTCCCTCTACATCCTTCCTTCACTGGAAAATAGGCTTCCTTCACTGGAAAATAGAATGGGAGGCTTTCCCTGTTGAAACTCCTCAAGGACATCGGTTGCCAAGGTTTATTAAGAGTGAATCTTCCCCACATGGGTTATCCCCTCTACTGCCTCTAGTGACAGAGGATCACATTTCACTGGCAAAATTATTCAGGAAATAGGAAAGGTTACACACACCAGCCAAATATTCCACTGGACTTACCATCCTCAGTGATAAAGTTCTATACAAAGAGCCAACAGCATCCTCAAGCTGAACTGGCTAAACTGTCTGAAGAAAGAACTTGCCATGGCCACAGATATTACCCATCACACTGACTCTCAGATCCTTGGCCCTACCTTCACACAAACGATCCTCTTTGAATCATTACGGGATACCCATGAGAATACCCTACTAATGCAAACTAGCAGAAGATTCCAAACTAACTCAGTTCAACAACCTCAGATATTGTCAGGGATTAATTAAATACACACAGCCCCACTATACTCCACAATTGAGGCTTCTTGTATCTTTAAACTCCCTGATCAGTCCTTACTTGCTTCATAAGTAAGTGATCTGGCATTTTGAAAAAACACCAACATCAGAAAACTAACCTTGAACCCAGAGGGAGGGGACCTTTTATTGTTTCACTCATTGCTAACACTGCTAACAAATTACAGAGTGTTTGAACTTGGGTGCATGTCTTTTAGTTGAAAAAATACAAAATCTATTTCAATTGGAAGGCACTCTAACCAGAGACTCACGCTGAGACTCTATGAACAACCTCCAGGCCAGGCGCGGTGGCTCACGCCTGTAATCCCAGCACTTTCGGAGGCCGAGGCGGGCGGATCACGAGGTCAGCAGATAGAGACCATCAGGTGAAACCCCGTCTCTACTAAAAATACGAAAAAATTAGCCGGGCGCTAATTGGCGGGCTCCTGTAGTCCCAGCTACTCGGGAGGCTGAGGCAGGAGAATGGCGTGAACCCGGGAGGCGGAGCTTGCAGTGAGCCGAGATTGAGCCACTGCACTCCAGCCTTGGGAACAGAGCGAGACTCAATCTCGAAAAGAAAAGAAAAAAAAAGAACCTCCAAACTTTGCAGCGAGCAGAGATTGCACCACTGCACTTCAGCCTGGGTGACAGAGCAAGACTCGGTCTCAAAAAAAAAAAAAAAAAAAAGAAAAGAAAAGGAAAGGAAAGAAAAGAAAAGAACCTCTAAAAGTAGCCAACAGCTGGAGACAGACATCCATCCTAAGAACTACGGAGCAAGTAAATGATATGATGAAGCAGTCCGCTTCTGCCAAAGATCATGAAACAAGATTCACTCCGATTCCCCTCCCCTGTCTCTGACTTCAATTTTGGGTCTACGCATTCTGCTACTACTCCTGTGTCCTCTACAACGTCCCATCTTTATCCTAGTGATGTGTCCTACTTACAACATATATACTCCATCTCCAGCCTCAGCAGCCCTGTCATGATTCCCCTCTGTTTCCTCATCTTACCCTATCCCGTGCTTTCCTCTCATGACCATAATTCCCTCGGTCTCTTAGCTGACAAAGTAGCCAATGAAATTAACCGAAGTAATTGCCGGGTCTATGCCCATTCCCACTCTATCCTAAAACTGGTATTCCCTTAATAATTGTCTCCCTTATGCTTTAGATATGGCCTTGGCAGAAAACATTACAAATATACAGCCATTTAGGTCTCCCTTTTAGAAAGACATTGGGCTATTTCTTAAAAGCCCTTGTGACTGGGAGTATGATGTGGCCTCTTTAACCTAAGAAACGTGGTGTTTTACTAGAAATCAGTCTAATAAATACAGTCACCCTGTGGAACACAGTAGATGCTCTGTGTCCTTGTGAAAAGATGAAACCTATTTTCAAGAAACAGACATTCTTTGTAAGGGCCAAACTCCCATTAAGGACAGCATTGTCTGCAATACCCACGCAATACCAGTATCATAGGAAATTATTTTACTCCAGATCAATATTTTGGTGAACTGAAAGACTGGGCAAAAAATTGCTGGCTAAATGGTACCAAAGTACCCAGCCATTTAGAAGATGATGTTTATAACTATCTCTTTGGAGTCTATTCCAGGTTAGCTCCTCTAGCCTCTGTTACAACCACTAGAGGCAATAACCAACACTAGTATGCCCTCAAGGGACATTATTTAGTATGTGGTCATAAAACCATACAAAGTACTTCCAGCCCATTGGGCTGGCTGCTGCGATGTGGCTTATGCTGTCCCTCAAATGGAAATGTATGAAAAATTTCCCAATGGAAACATTAGAAACATGAGCGCTCCCACAATTGCTGAGCCTGAAACTTGTGAATGGATAATGGCTGGATGACAAGCAGCCTTAAACAGGTCCGGGGAGAGCCGCTTGCTCAGGCCAAACTTACAGGGTGCTCTACTCTTGATATTCTACCCTTTGTCACCAACATAGGTCAGCCAACTCCTATGCTGTAAGATACATCTGACAAAGGACTAGTATCCAGAATCTAAAAGGAACTCCAACAAATTAGCGAGAAAAAAAACACATAATCCTACTAAAAAGTGGGCAAACGACATGAATAGATATTTCTCAAAAGAAGATATGGAAACGGCCAACAAATAAATGAACAAATGCTCAACATCACTAATCATCACGGAAATTCAAATTAAAATCACAGTGAGATACCATCTAGTCAGAATTGTCTTACCCTAGCCAAAAGGTTAAAACACAAACAAACAAAAACAGATGTTGGCACAGATGTGATGAAAGAGAATGCTCATACACTGTTGGTGGGAATGTAAATTAGTACAACTTCTATGAAAAACAATGTGGAGATTTCTCAAGGAACTAAATGTAGATCTACTATTCAATCAGCAATCCCACTACTGGTATCTACCCAAGGAAAAGAAGTCATTATATATAAAGAACACTTGCACATGGATGTTTATCACACACAATTCACAATAGCAGAGATAGAGAATCAAGCTGAGTGCCTATCAACAGAGGAATGGATAAGGAAAATGTGGTATATATAAAAAATGGAATACTACAGGCCCAGCCAGGTTGCTCACGCCTGTAATCCCAGCAGTTGAGGAGGCCGAGGCAGGTGGATCATGAGGTCAGGAGTTGAAGACCAGCCTGGCCAAGAGGGTGAAACCCCATCTCTACTGAAAATACAAAAATTAGCTGGGCATGGTGGCGGGCACCTGTAATCCCAGCTCCTCGGGAGGCTGAGGCAGAGAATTGCTTGAACCCGAGAGGTAGAGGTCGCAGTGAGCTGAGATCACACCACTGCACTCCAGGCTGGGCAACAGAGCGAGACTCCATCTCAGCAACAACAACAAAAAGGAATACTACTTAGCCACACACGCACACAAATGTCTTTTGCAGCAACTTGGAACTGGAGGCCATTACCATAAGTGAAGTAACTCAGGAATGGAAAAACCAAATACTGCATGTTCTTACATATAAGTGGGAGCTAAGCTATGGGTACACAAGGTATACAGAGGGGCATAATGGACATTGGAGGCTCAGAGAGGAAGGGAGAGGGATAAAAAAAAATCACCTCTTGGGTACACTGTAAATTATTTGGTGACAGATACAGTAAAAGCCCAGACTTCTCCACTATACAATTTATTCATATAACCAAAAACTATTTGTACCCCTTAAGCTATTGAAATAACAATTTAAAAAATAATTAGTAGAGTTCATCTCAAACTTAATATAAGCTTTTGTTTCATAAATCCATGAGGTATTGGAGCTTCTCAAAATGACTTTACAAAACTAGCTCACCTTAGACTACATACTGGGTTTTCAAGAAGGTGCTTGTGCACTGGTGAGTTCCCAATGCTTTTCATTCATGAATGATAAAGAGAAATGAATCAAGAAGTCGTGGCAGCACGTGCCTGAGAAGCAGCCAACATAGCTCACGCCCCTCCAGACAGGCTTAGTCTCTAAGGAGAAAATGGTTTCCCCAGCCAAATGGCTTAGGAGACTTTTTAAGGGACTTGGCTTTTTTTTTTTTTCTTTTAACTTTTATTGTAAGGTCAGGGGTACATGTGAAGATTTGTTACAAAGGTAAACTCATGTCATGGGGTCTTGTTGTACAGGTTATTTAATCACCCAGGAATTAAGCCCAGTACCCAACAGTTACTGTTTCCACTCCTCTCCCACCTCCCACACTGCATGCTCAAGCAGACCCCAGTGTCTGCTGTTTCCCTCTTTGTGTTAATAAGTTCTCATCATTTAGCCTTCACTTACAAGTAAGAACATGCAGTATTTGGTTTTCTGTTCCTGCGTTAGTTGCTGAGGATAATAGCCTCCAGCTCTAGCCATGTTCCTGCAAACGACATAATCTCATTCTTTCTTACAGCTGCATGGTACTCCATGGTGTATATGTACCACACTTTCTTTATCCAATCTGTCATTGATGGGCATTTAGGCTGATTCCATGTCTTTGCTATTGTGAATATTGCTGCGATGAACATTTACATGTGCAAGTGTCTTTATGGTAGACTGGTTTATATTCCTCTGGGTATATACCCAGTACTGGGATTACTGAGTTAAATAGCAGTTCTGCTTTTAGCTCTTTGAGGAATCACCATATTGCTTTCCACAATGGTTAAACTAATTTACATCCCACCAATGTGTCTAAGTGTTCCTTTTTCTCTGCATTCTCACCAGCATCTGCTATTTTTTGACTTTTTAACAATAGCCTTTCTGACTGGTATGAGACAGTATGTCACTATGGTTTTGATGTGCATTTCTCTAATGATTAGTGATAGATATTGAAGTTTTTTTCATATGCTTGTTGGATGCGTGTCTTCCTTTGAAAAGTTTCTGTTCATGTTCTTTGCTCACTTGTTAATGGAGTTGTTTGTTTTTCTCTTGTAAATTTGTTTAAGTTCCTTATAAATGCTGGATATTACACCTTTGTCGGATGCATAGTTTGCAAATATTTTCTCCCAATCTGTAGGTTGTCTGTTAACTCTGTCCATAGTTTCTTTTGTTGTGCAGAAGCTCTTAAGTAAATTGGATCCCCCTTGTCATTGTTTGCTTTCGTTGCAATTGCTTTTGGCGTCTTTGTCATGAAATCTTTGCCTATTCCTATGTCCAGGATTGTATTGCCTAGTTTGTCTTCATGGGTTTTCATAGTTTTGGGTTTTACACTATGTCTTTAATCCATTTTGAGTTGATTTATGTATTTGGTGTAAGGAAGGGTGGTGTAAGGAAGAGTGGATGCTTCAGTTTTCTGCATATGGCTAGCCAGTTATCCCAGCACCATTTATCAAATAGGGAATTGTTTCCCCATTGCTTGCTTTTGTCAGCTTTGTTGAAGATCAGGTGGTCATAGGTGTGCAACCTTATTCTGGGCTCTTGATTCTGTTCTGTTGGTTTATTTGCCTGTTTTTGTACCACTACCATGTTGTTTTTGTTACTGTAGCCCTGTAACATAGTTTGAAATTGGGTAACATAATGCCTCCAGCTTTTCTCCTCTTTACTTAGGATTGTCTTGGCTATTCAGGCCTTATTTTTTTGGTTCTATATTAATTTTAAAATAGTTTTCCTAGTTTTGTGAAGAATGTCATTGGTAGTTTGATATGAATAGTATTGAATCTGTAAATTGCTTTGGGCATTATGACCATTTTAATTATGTTGATTCTTCCTATCCATGAGCCTGTGATATTTTTTCATTTGTTTGTGTCATCTCTGATGTCTTTGAGCAGTGTTTTGTAATTCTCATTGTAGAGAATTCTACACCTCCCTGGTTAGCTGTTTATCAGCTAAAGGAGCTTTTGGGCTGAAGGTATGAGGCTTCTGGATATAACATCATGTCATCTGCAAACAGAGATAGTTTGACTTCTTCTTTTCCTATCTAGATGCTCTTTATTTCTTTCTCTTTCATGATTGCTCTGGCTAGGAATTTCACAACTATTTTGAATAGGAGTGGTGAGAGAGGGCAGACTTGTTTTGTGCCAGTTTTCAAGGGCAAAAAGCTTCCAGCTTTTGCCCATTCAAAGTGATATTGGCTGTGGATGTGTCATAGATGTCTCTTATTATTTTGAGGTATATTCCTTCAATACCTACTTTGTTGAGAGTTGTTAACATGAAAGGGGGTTAAATTTTATCAAGAGCTTTTTTTCTGCATTGATTGAGATAATCATGTGGTTTTTGTCTTCAGTTCTGTTTATGTGACGAAATCACATTTATTGATTTGCATATGTAGAACCAACCTTGCATCCCAGGAATGAAGCCTATTTGATCATGGTGGATTAGCTTTTTGATGTGCTGCTGGATTTGGTTTGCAAGTATTTTGCTGAGGATTTTTGCATTGATGTTCATCAAGGATATTGGCCTGAAGTTTTCTTTTTGGTTGTTGTGGCTCTGCCAGGTTTTAGTATCAGGATGATGGTGGCCTCATAGAATGTGCTAAAGAGGAGTCACTCCTTCTCAATTTTTCGGGGGGTACTTTCCCTAGGAATGGTACCAGTTCTTTGTACATCTGGTAGAATTCAGCTATGAATCCATCAGGTCCTGGGCTTTTTTTGGTTGGTAGGCTATTTGTTACTGGTTCAATTTTGGAGCTTGTTGCTGGTCTGTTCAGGCAATCAATTTCTTCCTGGCTTAGTCTTGGGTGGGTGTATGTGTCCAGGAATTTATCCATCTTTTCAAGGTTTTCTAGTTTGTGTGCATTGAGGTGTTCATAGTAGTTTTTAGTGGTTATTTGATTATTTTTATTTTTGTGCAGTCAGTGTTAACATTTTCCTTTCTGTTTTTTTTTTTTTTTTTTTTTTTGAGACAGAGTCTTGTTTTGTCATCCAGGCTGGCGTACAGTGGCACCATCTTGGCTCACTGCAGGCTCTGCCTCCTGGGTTCAAGCAATTCTTGTGCCTCCGCCTCCTGAGTAGTTGGGACTACAGTTGTGTGCCACCATGCCCAGCTAATTTTTGTATTTTTAGTAGAGAGGGTTTCACCACGTTTGTCAGGCTGCTCTCAAACTCCTGGCCTCAAGTGATCTACCCGCTTCAGTCTCCCAAAGTGCTGGGATTACAGGTATGAGCCACCACACCGGGCCTCAAAATTTTAGTAGTGTTTATTTGGACGTTCTCTCTTTTTTTCTTTATTATTCTAGGTGTTGGCCTATCTTATTAATTTTTTCAAAAAAAATCCTGGATTCAACAATCTTTTGAATTATTTTTGTGTCTTTGATTTTCTTCCATTCAGCTCCAATTTTGGTTATGTCTTGTTTTCTGCTAGCTTTGGGGTTGATTTGTTATTGCTTCTGTAATTCTTTTAGTTGCGATATTACGTTGTTAATTTGAGATCTTTCTAACTTTTTGAGATTTTTCTAACTTTTTGATGTGGGCAGGTAGTGCTATGAATTTCCCTCTTATCATTGCCTTACCTGTGTCCCAGAGATTCTGGTATGTTGTATCTTTGTTCACATTATTTTCAAAGAACTTCTTGATTTCTGCCTTAATTTCATTATTTACCCAAAAGTCATTCAGGAACATGTTGTTTAATTTCCATGTAATTGTATGGTTTTGAGTGATTTTCTTAGTCTCAACTTTTATTTTTACTGCACTGTTGTCCAAGAGTGTGTTTGGTAAGAATTCGGTTCTTTTACATTTGCTAAGCGTTGTTTTATGTCCAATTATGTGGCTGATTTTAGAGTATGTGCCATGTGGTGATGAGAAGAATGTATATTCTGTTGTTTTTGAGTGGAGAGTTCTGTAGAAGTCAATCAGATACATTTGATCTAATGTTGAGTTCAGGTCCTGAATATGTTTTTTAATTTTCTGCCTTGGTGATCTGTCTAATAACTGTTAGTGGAGTGTTGAAATCTCCCACTGTTATTGTGTGAGACTCCGTGTCTCTTTGTAAGTCTCTAAGAACTTGCTTTATGAATCTGGGTGCTCCTGTATTGGGTGCACATATATTTAGGATAGTTAGATCTTCTTGTTGAATTGAACTCTTTACCATTATGTAATGCTCTCCTTTGTCTTTTTTGATCTTGCACTTGGCTTCTTAAAAACATCCTTAATGGCAATATTCTTTGTCTCTTAAGTACACCACTATTCTTCTTTTTTTTTTTTCTTTTCCAGATAGAGTCTCACTCTGTCACCAGGCTGGAGTACAATGGCACTATCTCTACTCACTGCAACCTCCCCCTCCTGGTTCAAGCGATTCTCCTGCCTCAGTCTCCTGAGTAGCTGGGACTACAGGCGTGTGCCACCATGCGCAGCTAATTTTTGTATTTTTAGTACAGATGAGGTTTCACCATGTTGGCCAAGATGGTCTCGATCTCTTGACCTCGTGATCCACCCACCTCAGCGTCCCAAAGTGTTGGGATTACAGGCATGACCCACCAAGTGCATCTCTATTCTTATGAGACAATTGTGCCACCATTGATAGTACACCAAACCTCCTCGATTGTTGCATTTACCACCTTGACTCTTCCTGAATTGCACAATGATGATAAACAATGGCTGAACTTTTTTCTTTTGAGGACTTTGGAGTGCAACAACTATATTTATTCTACGAGAAAGAAATTCATTCTTTCTCTTGAACAAGAGGAGGGACTGTGAACTTCCCTGAAGCAAAAAGGATTTGCCTAAACACTGTGCTAAGAGACTTGACCTAACATTAGCCTGGCTTCCACTTGGAGTAGTTAACCCCAGGCCCTGCGCTGAGTCTTTGCTCAAGAAAATACAATGCTGCCAAACTACATAATGTATATTGTCGTAACTGATGGTGTCAAATCATTTCCAGTAATTCTCTACTTACCCCCCGCTTTTTTTTTTTTTTTGAGACGGAGTCTCCCTCTCTCCCCCAGGCTGGAGTGCAGTGGCGTGATCTCAGCTCACTGCAAGCTCCCCCTCCCAGGTTCACGCCATTCTCCTGCCTCAGCCTCCTGAGTAGCTGGGAGTACAGGAGCCCGCCACCATGTCCAGCCAACTTTTTGTGTGTTTTTAGTAGAAACGGGGTTTCACCGTGTTAGCCAGGATGGTCTCGATCTCCTGACCTCGTGATCTGCCCGCCTCGGCCTCCCAAAGTGCTGGGACTACAGGCGTGAGCCACCGCGCCAGACTCTTACCCCCTTTTATAATTTGCATTTTCACGTAGTCCTCAGTCCCTTTTTTAATTCCCCTCTTTTTACTTTTCCATAGTTTCTTTTTATTTCCCATTTGTTCTATTTTTAAAAACATCAGCCTCCTTTGTCTTACTTGGAGTTGAGCTTAGTTTATACTGAAGTCTCTCCCTCCTGCTGAAATAGTCTGAGTAAAATAGGTCTCATTGCCTTTAGCAAGTATCCAGCACTGCTGTTTTTCTTTGACAATTTCTAGGGTTGCCTTAGATGAAGTGGGGTGAAAGGGCATTAGAAGGCACAGGCCAAAAGATCAGAACTCTGGACTCTCAGTCCCAAATTCTACTAGCAGAACTCCTTTTTCATATTCTTCATACACTGGGGGCTTTGCTGAGAGTTTGCTGGACTGAATATAGGAAGAACAACAGACTTCTGAAGTTAGTCACATCTGTCCTTGATTCAATTATACAAACATGAGGATTCTCAAAGTTATGATTTTTTTCCTAGAAATACTTTATTTTCAGGAAATATTTATTTAGCGTTGATGACTTGAGTATTAATCTCAAGGCAAGGAAATGAGGGAAATGACCTCCTGATGTCTTTCCCATGAATCTGTAACTCGGTGGTCAGCTTCTTCCCAAGTTATTTTTCTTGTGGCATCTCAGTGATTTTATTAGTTTCACCACAAGTACTCCCAGCAAGGGAAATCAGTGATCCCAAAGGCACCAGGCTGGAGTTTTCCCGCATAAAGATCACTCTTCGAAGCAGCTCCTTCCTAGAAATTTGTTATGTTTACCTTTGCCAATCATCTATGATTAGTGTAGTAATTATTCTGTTTTTGCTATCTTTTATTTTTGATACTCACTGAAGGCTTCACTTATCAACGATTAAGGCATGTGCTTCTGCTTTGATTCAGTGTCTTCTTAGTATGAGCATGGTGGTATAATTCTCTTGAATCAGTGCTGGGATTTATTTGATTATGAAAATTTATTTTCATTCAGGTATTTTAAATGCACTTTTAATATTAAGTACATTTAATATTACATGTAATATTAACTTGAAGTGTAACTAATATGAACAAATTCCAAAGTACATGAAAATAACTTTTAATCCTGTAAGTATGACTATTTAATTTATTTCTTTTCACAATATAAAAAGCACATGCGATATTTTGAAAGACTATTAAAGGTGGGGACAAGAGGTTATTTAAATCTATGTTTGGATGCAACTTTTATGGCTTAAACTACAAAGAATTATCCTTTTTATATATTAAATGATTGTATAGTTCTTTTAATACTGTTTTTTGATACAAGTGTGAAATTCTTAAAGAAAATGGCAAACATCACTAACAACCATTACAATTCTAATAGCTAACTTTTCTGAGCCATTACTTGGAACCATGCACTGTTTAAAATGCCTCACTTGGCCAGGCACGGTGGCTCATGCCTGTAATCCCAGCACTCTGGTAGGCCGAGGCAGGCAGAACACGAGGTCAGGAGATCGAGACCATCCTGGACAACATGGTGAAACTCCGTATCTATTAAAAATACAAAAATTAGCCTAGTGTGGTGGTCTGTGCCTATAGTCCCAGCTACTCAGAAGGCTGAGGCAGGAGAATCGCTTGAACCGGGGAGTTGGAGGTTGCAGTGAGCCAAGATCGCGCCACAGGACTCCAGCCTAGCGACAGAGCCAGACTCCGTCTCAAAACAAACAAAAAACAAAAAAAATTCCTCACTCATCTCACTCATGTAATCATGACAATAACATTAATTGTATTATCCCTACATTACAGATGACAGGTGACAAAAATATGCAGAGAGGGGTTAAACTGCATAACATTACTCAGAGAATGCATTCTTTTTATTCCATAGGTTTTTTGTATTACAGTACTACATTCACAGAGGGCTTCCATTGGAAATAACTTATAGGAATTATTGTAGGTCTCTTTGCACTTTCTTCAGCTCTTGGTTTAGGTCTCAAATTGTGAGTGATTTCTCTCTTTAGTGAAGTTGTAATGCAATTCATTACCATAGCAGAAAGCACAGAAAATATTACCTATTTATTAACTGGAAATGCACTCACATGTTGTATTAGTCCATTCTCATGCTGCTATGAAGAAATATCCAAGACTGGGTAATTTATAAAGAAAAGAGGTTTAATTGATTCACAGTTCCACATGGCTAGGGAAGCCTCAGGAAACTTACAATCATGGCAGAAGGCACCTCTTCACAGGGTGGCAGCAGAAATAATGAGTTTTGAGCAAAGGGGAAGCCCCTTATGAAATGATCAGATCTCATGAGAACTCACCCATCATCATGAGAACAGCATGGGGACAACTACCCCATGATTCAATTATGTCCACCCGATCCTACCCTTTACACTTGGGGATTATGGAAACTGCAATTCAAGATGCGATCTGGGTGGGGACACAGAGCTAAATCATATCACTCTGTCCCTGGCCCCACTCCAAGTCCCATGTCCTCACATTTCAAAACAATCATACCTTTCCTACACTTCCCCAAAGTCTTAGCTCATTACAGCATTAACCCAAATGTCCAAGTCCAGAGTTTCATCTGAGTCAAGTCCCTTCCACCTATGAGCCTGTAAAATCAAAAGCAAGTTAGTTACTTCCTAGATACAATGGAGGCACAGGCATTGTGCCTGTAAATACACCCATTCCAAATGGGAGAAATTGGCCAAAACAAAGGGGCTACAGGCCCTATGCAAGTCTGAAAAACAATAGGGCAGTCATTAAACCTTAAAAGTTCCAAAATGTTCTCCTTTGATTCCAGGTCTCACATCCAGGTCACACTGATGCAAGAAATAGGCTCCCATGGCCATGGGCAGCTCCACCCCTGTGGCTTTGCAGGGTACAACCTCCCTCCTGGCTGCTTTCATGGGCTGGCATTGAGTGTCTGTGGCTTTTCCAGGGGCACAATGAAAGTTGTCAGTGGAGCTACCATGCTGGGGTCTGGAGGACGGTAACCCTCTTCTCACAGTTCCACTAGGTAGTACCCCAGTGAGGACTCTGTGTGGGGGCTCCAACCCCACATTTCCCTTCTGCACTGTCCTAGCAGAGGTTCTCCATGAGGGCTTTGCCCCTGCAGCAAACTTCTGCCTGGGTATCCAGGCATTTCCATACATCTTCTGAAATCCAGGTGAAGGTTCCCAAACCTCAATTCTTGACTTCTGTGAACCCACAGGCTCAACACCACATGGAAGCCTCCAAGGCTTGGAGCTTGGACCCTCTGAAGCAATGGCCTGAGCTGTACCTTGGCCCCTTTTAACTGTGGCTGGAGCTGAAGCAGCTGGGAGACAGGGCACCATGTCTCAAAGCTGCACAGAACAGGGGGTCCTGGGCCCATGAAACCATTTTTCCCTCCTAGGTTTCCAGGCCTATGATGGGAGGGGCTTCCAAGAAGGTCTCTGACATGCCCTGGAGACATTTCCCTCATTGTCTTGGCAATTAATATTCCACTCCTTGTTCTGCAAATTTCCGCAGCTGGCTTGAATTTCTCCCAAGAAAATGGGTTTTTCTTTTCTATCGCCTTGTCAGGCTGCAAGTTTTCTAAACTTTTATGCTCTGCTTCCTCTTGAACACTTTGCTGCTTAGAAATTTCTGCCACGAGATACCCTAAATCATCTCTCTCAAGTTCAAAGTTCCACAGCTCTCCGGGTCAGGGGCAAAGTGTTGCAGTCTCTTTGCTAAAGCATAGAAAGAATCACCTTTATCCGAGTTCCCAACAAGTTCCCCATCTCCATCTGAGACCACCTCAGCCTGGACTTCATTTTCCATGTCACTGTCAGCATTTTGGTAGAAGCCATTCAAGTCTCTAGGAAGTCCCAAACTTTCCCACATCTTCTTGTCTTCCAAGCCCTCCAAGTCTCTAGGAAGTTCCACACTTCCCCACATTCTTCTGTCTTCTTTTTTTTTTGTTTTTGAGATGGAGTTTCGCTCTTGTTGCCCAAGCTGGAATGCAGTGGTACAATCTCTGCTCACTGCAACCTCCACCTCCCATGTTCAAGCCATTCTCCTGCCTCAGCCTCCCAAGTAGCTGGGATTACAGGCATGCACCACGATGCCCAGCTAGTTTTATATTTTTAGTAGAGATGGGGTTTCACCATGTTGGCCAGGCTGGTCTCAAACTCCTGACCTCAGGTCATCCACCTGCCTCGGTCTCCCAAAGTCCTGGGATTACAGGGATGAGCCACCACACCCAGCCTTTACTGTCTTCTTCTGAACTCTCCAAACTATTCCAACCTCTGCCTGTTGCCCAGTTCCAAAGTCACTTCCACATTTTAGGGTATCCTTATAACAGCACCCTATGTCTGTGGTACCAATTTACTGTATTAGTCTGTTTTCATGCTGTTATGAAGAACTACTCAAGACTGGGTAATTTATAAAGAAAAGTTTAATTGACTCATAGTTTGACATGGCTGGGCATGCCTCAGGAAACTTACAATCATGGCCGAAGGCACCTCTTCACAGGGTGGCAGCAGAAACAATGAGTTTTGAGTGAAGGAAGAAGCCCCTTATAAAACCATCAGATCTTGTGAGAACTCACTATCACGAGAACAGCGTGGAGAAAACCACTCCTATGATTCAATCATGTCCATCTGGTCCCGCCCTTGACACATGAGGATTATGGGAATTACAAGATTACACATTAATCTTAAATTACACATTAATAAGTGTGTAATGAAACATCCCCTTTTTTTATTTGAGTTCATTTCAATAGATATGGAAATAATAGAAAATGCATCTGACATCAAATTCCTGGGAAGTACAGGTAAAAAAAAAATACCAGATGTTTAAAGGTATTTGAATAAGTAAATATTGCAGTCTGTACTTTATCAGTTAGCTATGATACAAAAAACAATGCATGGCAGTTGCTTGTCAATTTTGTGATTTATTCAGAAACATACATCTCTGCATGCACTTACAGTTTTATACGGCAGTGCAAAATGTCAAAAGCACTGATGTTGCTCAAAGGAAATGTTAAGGAACTAACTAAGGCTCACTCCAAATTCCTTCACAAACCCGTCCAATCCTGTGAGTGTCGAGGGGCCTTCACATCACAGCCTGCATCCTGACAGGCCCTGTGAGACCCATCCCGCTTCATGGAACGTGAGTCAGCAGCTCAGAGAAGGACAAGGACATCTACATAACTGGCTCGAAATATTCAACTTTTCAAAATTTTATATTTTCATACATATAAATATATATTCTTAAAATGCATTTTTGTTTTTCTATCCGAACAGAAGTGCAATAATTCTTTAAAAATATTCCTAAACAGACCGGGGCAGTGGCTCACACCTGTAATCCCAGCACTTTGGGAGGCCGAGGCAGGTGGATCACGAGATCAGGAGATTGAGACCATCCTGGCTAACATGGTGAAACCCCGTCTCTACTAAAAATACAAAACATTAGCCAGACATGGTGGTGGGCGCCTGTAGTCCCAGCTACTCCGGAGGCTGAGGCAGGAGAATGGCATGAACCTGGGAGGCGGAGCTTTCAGTGAGCTATCCAGCCACTGCACTCCAGCCTGGGTGACAGAGCGAGACTCTGTCTCAAAAAAGAAAAAAAAAAAATTTGTAAACAAACGATGATGAAAACAGGAAACTGAATACAATTACGAACAATGAATTTAATCTTTAGTTTCTTCTGCTTTATACTATATGTGAATTTGGTCTAGAAAATACAACATAAAAGGAAATAAGTAAAAACCAAACGTTGAGCATTACTAAGGTAAAAATGTTGAATGGAATACTTTATTATGTATTTATGTATTTATTTGTTTGTTTATTGAGACATGGTTTTACCCTGTTTCCCAGGCTGGAGTGCAGTGGCATGACCATGGCTCACTACAGTCTTGAACTTTCATGCTCAAGCTCTCCTCTGACCTTAGCCTCCTGAGTAGCTGGAACTACAGGTGCATGCCACCATGCCTGGCTAATTAATAATAATTTTTTTTTTTTTTGTAGAAACAGGCTCTCGCTATATAGCCAGGGCTGGTCTCAAACTCCTGGGCTTAAGGGAGCCTCCTATCTTCATCTCCCAAATTACTGGGGTTATAGATGTGAGTCATCAGGTGTCGCCTGAATGATATATTTTAATGATGTACCTAGCACATGAGTTTCAAAGTTTTCACTCTCCAAGAATTTTCATAAGGTCAGTTTAATTATTAATAGCATGTTTTACAGTTATAGAATTAATGCATAAATACAGTAAAACAAAATGTGAAACTATAGAATTGTATGAAATAAAAAATAAGAATATTTCTTCTATCTCTGTACATTTTCCATCTTTACCATGTTCAACATATCTTTATTACTATTATGAAAAATTTAAAGAATATACAAAAGGAAATAAATAGCATAATGAATGAATAGTATAATTAACTCATTGACCTAATACCCAGCTTCAGTTTTAGACAGTCCTGATTCCTCTGATCCCACTTCCCTGACATAGATTAATTGAAGAGCATTTCTGGCATCCTGTCATTTCATCCATGAATATTTGGAGGTATCCACCTCCAAAGGGTAAGGATCCCCTTTTTAAAATAATACATCTAAAAATTAGCCAGAATTACTTACTTTTAACCAAAATCCAGTCGCTGTTCAAATTTCCCTGATTGTCTTACTTTTTTTTTTTTTTGAGATAGAGTCTCGCCCTGTCACCCAGGCTGGAATGCAGTGGCAAGATCTCGGCTCACTGCAACCTCCGCCTCCTGGGTTCAAGCGATTCTTTTGCCTCAGCTTCCCAATTAGCTGGGATTACAGGTGCCCACCACCATGCCTGGTTAATTTTTTGGATTTTTAGTAGAGACGGGGTTTCACCATATTGGCATGTTGGTCAGGCTTGTCGGCCAGGATTGATCTCCTGACCTCAAGTGATCCACCCACCTCGGCCTCCCAAAGTGTTGGGATTACAGGTGTGAGCCACGCTGCCTGGCCAGTCCTACATATTTTTTCACACCATTTTTCTTTTTTTAAAAGAGCAGAATCCTTGTACGGATATTACGATGGATTGCAGAGTCTCTAAAGCATTCTTCATTCTTATTCTTCCCCTTCCATCTTTTTTTTCCATGCAATTCGTTAAAGAAACTAGGACAGAGTCCACAGTGTAGATTTTTATGATTGTGTCATCACTGTGGTATCATTTAACACGCTACTCTGACCTCAGTATTTTCTGTGAAACCCACATGTCAGGGGTGTTGGGCAGATTTGTTTGCTTCTGGGTTTGTGTTTCCAACACTCAGACTCAGGACCTGGTAACAATCCCCTATAGCAGTTCGTAACTATTTGCTTGATTTTGACTGAACACCAGAGGGCAGTGCAGGTGGACACCAAGAGCATTGCTGTCAACACACAGAGGCCTGTGGGCACAGGGGTCCTGCACTGCGAGGCCAAAGCTCCCTTCTCTGCTCCTAAGCAATCCCTTTCCCTCCTCTGAAGGACAGCCACGTACTCTAGGTCCTAACCTCTGGAGTGCACTAATGAACAAGAGGTGCATGAGCACCAAATGTGAGAGGACAGGAGTCTGGAAACCTAGCACAGGAGTCTTCTCAGAACCTTAGGACATTCCTACTGTTGTGAGGGTAGGAGAAGAATGCCTAGCTAAGGAAACAAGTGTTTAGTGTCCAATGTGAGTAACTGCCATGGGGAAGAATAAAGCAGGGAAGGGCAAGAAGATGCCCAGGGTGGACAAAGAAGCTCTCATTGATAAAGAGACATTAGAACACACATCTGAAGGTGGCGAGATAGTCAGCCTTTCAGATATCTGGAGCAAGCTTGTTGCACTAACAGGAAAAAGCAGGTGCAAAGGCCCTGGGGCAGGAACGTGCTAGTTGTGTTTGAGGGGGGCAGCAAGCTGTTGTAACTGGAACAGAGAGAGAAGGGGGAAGATGGTAGTGAATGAAATCTGAAAAGGAACAGATTATGTACGATTTTTAGGCCATTATAAGGACTTTGGCTTTTACTCCTGTGAATCAGAAAGCTACGTGACTGGGGTGGGGTAGTGCTTTACTAAGAGGAGTGGCGCTCTCTGATAATTTTTAAAGGCTCACTCTGGTTGCTAAGTTACAAATACATAGAATGTGTCAGCTGGGAGATCAATGGGGAGGCGATTGCAATCATCTGGGGTGGCTGCTACAATCTATGTTAGAAACTTGCATGTTTCATGCCTTTTATTTTAGGCAAGTTCATCAGCATTTGCTTTTCAGATACTTAATGAATCCTTCAGTCTATTCAGAGAATAAGGCATGTGTTGAAATGATCAGTACACAGTATTAGAAAATGGAAAGTCATGAATATAATAACAGAGACGCCTTTAGGGGCAACGTGAGGTCAAGAGAGGAAGGGACTGCGGCCAGCTTGGCAGGTGAGCCTGGCATAGGACAGGCCTTCCTTGAGATGGTCACAAATACAGTTTTATCAGTTTTCCTTGTGATGGTCACAAATACAGTCTTATCAGTTTTCACAAATAAAACCTTACAAATGTTCACTAATAAAATGCTACAACATATCCTATACCATATGCCAATTTAAGATAGGTTTTACTCCAATGAGTTAGGTTATCTGTAAATAACACATGGTCAAATCCCATATGTCTGTGTAGCAAATACTTTCTCAGTGTCCTGTTGTTTTTAATCCAGCATGTTCCACCAGCCTGGCCTAGGCTAGGGCTGGCACCTAGATAGTCATTAGGGTAAGTGTGTGTTTGTTTTGGGGTGTGGATTTCTTTTGGGGTGTGTGTGTGTGTGTGTGTGTGTCTGTGTGTGTAAGACTCATTGGCTCTACTCCAGGCCCCCTCTATCAAAATTTCTGGAGGTGGGAATCAAGTGTGATACTGATTTGGAAACCACCAATTCAGCTCACAGTTTTCTAGTCCAGTCTGTAACAGCTGCCTTCATGACAAACTGAATGCTGAAAGCTGTGGAAGGTGCCGGTAAACAAAAATAGAGGTGGAGGGAAAGCCATTTCAGACAAAGGGGATAGAGCACTAAACAACATAGGAGTCAGACCGGATTGGTTTTGCAGTGACTTCTGATGGCCTTTGCAAGTGTTCCATAACTGGATTTGCCTGGAATGTGGGGTTCAGGGTCCTTGGAAGAGAGTAGGTAGAAATAAGGTTTTGGAGCGTGTGAAATTAGATTGTGGAGGGCCTCACATGTTGAGCAAAGGACACTAAAGTTTATTTTCTAGGTAATAGGGAGCCAACCAAAATTTTTAAAATGAATGATGACACCAGAGAACTATGGTTCAAGAACTCCACACGTCTGACAGTCGTGTGTAATAATAACTGTTGTGTTATGAGTCCAGAGATGAGAAAGCTTTCTGCATTCATTCAGGAGAGAGGGGGTTGGGTGCTTAAATAGGAATAGGCCACTGGGATGTGTAGGTTGGAATGAATGTGAGAGACAGAAGACGTGAACAGCAGAAGAGAAAGGACAAGGTCAAACGTGGCACTGGGGTTTTAAATACAGGAAATTGGGAGGATGAACCAGCAGACTTAGCAAGATACAGAAGAAAAAAGAGATTTAGGAAAAACGTAGTATGGGTCAGCCAGATTTGGGGATGCCGATGCCATAACCAACTATAACCAATGGAAGATGATTTAACACAGTTGTAAGTATCTTGAAGCCAATGGTCTGTTTAGATGGGAAACAGTCTTTCATTTTCAAATTTAAAACTTTATTCTTAAAATGTGTACATTTAATCCAGAATAATCTATGGATATGTATTGAATAAATGCGTTCATTTTTAAATTTATATTTGATTTGTAGTGTCCCATTTCACTATAGTTTTCTGAAGAAATCTCAGTTCTTTATGCAAACTGTATCATAATAGTCAAGAATTTAAGATTACTTTCGTGTTCAAGGTCCTATCTCCAATTATCCTCTTGCTTAACGTGATTGCCTTTTGACCTACTTTCCATCTTAACATTAACATTATATTTTTTAATTATCCTGAATCAAATTTCGATTTAAGAAACTCCAAAAATAACAAAAATTGGAAACAGCCTATAACATTTTAGGAAATCAAGAAATATATTTAATTGTAACACCCACTTTCATATTCCACAAGAGAAAAATAAAGCAAAGCCTGATCAAGACGTGCCTTTAACACAACTCAATCACCTTTGAGCCTTCATTCTTTACCAGTCTCTCTATTCTCTGTGCCTATTTTCTACTCTCCCTGAGCAGAAATTTAAGTGTCACATTTTGCTAAGGCCTCCATTACATGAGTAATGAGTGCTTACATATATTGATATCCCCTGATTTTCTGTTGGTGAAGTTTCCAGGAACATTCATTCTCTTGGGAGGAGTAGAGACTCAGGTAAAAGTCATGTCTCTTCATCTTCCATCCTTCAGAGATTACTGGTGGCCAGAACACCTATGTGGGAGAGTGGGTATGGGAAGTGGGGTGTGTGGATAAAGAAACTCTGTTCGGGAGAGGCTCTCAGGGATCTGTGAGTCAGAGGAGTCACCTATCTTTAGGGTTGCACAAATCTAGCACCTTCTATGAAAACTGCATTCACCCAGAATGTGAAAAGAAAAAAGGGATGGCTGAGAACTTTTAAAATTCAGCAACAGACACCTGCCCACAAATCAAAGAACCTCAGAGAACACCAGATGCTACTATCCTGTCATAAATTAGGTAGTTATTTTATTAAAATAAAAAGATAGGGCCGGGCGCGGTGGCTCACGCCTGTAATCCCAGCACTTTGGGAGGCTGAGGCGGGTGGATCACAAGGTCAGGAGATCGAGGCCATCCTGGCTAACACGGTGAAACCCTGTCTCTACTAAAAATACAAAAACATTAGCTGGGCGTGGCGGCGGGCGCCTGTAGTCCCAGCTGCTGGGGAGGGTGAGGCAGGAGAATGGCGTGAACCCAGGAGGTGGAGCTTGTAGTGAGCCGAGATCGCGCCACTGCACTCCAGTCTGGGCGACAGAGCGAGACTCTGTATCAAAAAAAAAAAAAAAAAAAAATTGAGCAGATAATAGAGTTCCTATAAACAATCTCCATTTCCCCCCACAGTTCCTCCATTATAAATATCTTGCATTAATGTGGCACATTTATTACAATAGATGAGCCAATATTTATTTATACCATCAATTTATACTAACGTCCCCGCTTTGCTTTGTATAGTTCTATGAGTTCTGACAAATGTATATCGTGTATCCACTATTACAGTATTACGCAGAATAGTTTCACTGATTTAAAAATCCCCTGTGATTCAGCTTTTCATCCTTCTTCTGCTCTCCTCAAGGCCCTTGCAACCACTGATCTTACTGCCTCTAAAGTTTTGCCTTTGCCAGAATGTCATATGGCTGGAATCATACAGTATGTGGCTTTTTCAGACTGGTTTCTTTCACTTAGCAATATGTACTTAAGGTTCCCCTTGTCTTTTTGTGGCTTCACAGCTCAATACCTTTCATTGCTAAATAATATTCCAATGTATACGTGTACCATAGTTTGTTCATCCATTTACCTATTGGATATGTTGGTTGCATCTGGTTTTAGATGATACGAATAAAGCTTCTATAAATAGTCATGTTCAGGATTTTGTATGGACGTAAGTTTTCAATTCAATTGGGCAAATACCTGGGGGCATGACTGCTGGATTATATAGCATGTTTAGTTTTTAAGAAACTGCCAAACTGTCTTCCCATGTGACTGCACCATTTTGCATTCCCACTAGTAATGAAAGAGTTTTGGTTGCTTCGCATCCTTGCCAGCATACAGCACTGTCAGTTTTTTGGAGTTTAGTCATGCTAATAGTTGTATAGAGGTATCTCATTGTTGTTTTAATTTGCAATTCCTTTTTAAATAATTTCAACTTTTATTTTAGATTCAGGGGGTTCATGTGCAGGTCTGTTACCTGGGTATATTGTGTGATACTGAGGTTTGAGGTATGATTGCTCCCATCACTCAGGTACTGCGCATAGTACCTAATGGTTTTTCAACCCTTCCCTCATCTACTCCCCGCCAGTAGTCCCCAGTGTCAGTTGTTGCCATCTTTATGTCCCTAAGTACCCAGTGTTTAGCTCCCAGTTATAAGTGAAAACATGCAGTATTTAGTTTTCTGTTCCTGTGTTAATTTGCTTAGGATAATGGCCTCCGGCTGCATCCATGTTGCAATTCCTTGATGATCTATGTTATTGAGCATATTTTCATCTGCTTATTTGCCCTTTGTGTATCTGTAGTGAGGTGTCCAGATTTTGCCCACTTTTTAACTAGGTTTTTTTTCCTTATTGTTGTGTTTTCAGTGTTTTTTTTGTATATGTTGGATATATTGATATATTTTTTGCATATATGTATATGTCGGTGTATTTTAGTGATGTAAAATGAATGGAATCTATAGCCTTAAACATAATATAAATATATAATGGTTAAGATTTCCCACTCAACAATCCAGGCTTGACAGAAAATCATAAAATGTATTTAAATGTAAATGTTTTTTTCTTTGTTGATACTAGTTCTTAGTTTTAACATGCCGAAGAGGGTATATTTGATCAAGGACAAGATTAAATGTTCTGATTGGCTAACTATCAAACCGCTGCCTCCACTTTTTTTTGCAACTTGAAAATAATATTTAGTTATCATGCTAGCACAGCCATATTAATATATACCCCTTCAAAACTTTAAACATAAAGCTTTAACGGTTTCAGGAAAAAGAAATATTAATGATGCTGAGATTGGTGGACACGGATTCTGTGTAGTGAGACACTAAAAAGTAATTTTTCAAACAGGAAAGTTAAAGCACTTTAAAATCACAAAGCTATTGGTAATTAAAAAAAGAATTAGTATCAATTTCTGAAATACAAGATTAGAGGGACACCTAAAATTCTGAAAGGTCTTACAGAATTTTTTAAAAAAGTAATTGCAATTTAGATCAAAGTTCCCCACTTTTCATTCCAAGTGTGACACAGGTTTAAATAATAAACAGACAAAAAGTTTAGATAAATTCATGAATTATTGAACCAGATGATAAAAAATAGGGAAGCTATTTAGGGCATAGTCTCTAGTGTGTAAGGGTGACATCCTAAATAATAAATTTATGCTATTGTTGACAATATTGTTGACAAGGCTAAATGGTCAATGTGCTTGACATATTGCCTGGTTTTTCATGTTCTATTGCATGAGCTGATTCTCTCTCTCTCTTTTATTTATATTTTTGAACTCTGCCATTATGTTATCATGGACATTATGCCAACAATTTGATGCATCTATGTATATGCTTTAAATCTCTGGGAATAAATTTACTGAGTGCTACTTATGTGAACAAACTTCTCTTAAGCACAAATGGAAATCCACAAAGAAAGACAGCCTCTTCTATTTGTTTTATGTGAGGCAACAGATACACTGTAGACAAAAAGACCAAGTATAATTAACTCATATTGGTAACTAACAATATCTGCATATTACATATTTTTCTATTATGTTTTCTGAGCAACTTCGTGGCTTCTGATTTGGAGGGGTAGGATTTCATAGTTAATACTTTTTTTTTTTTTTTTGGTGAGATAGAGTCTAGCTCTTGTTGTCCAGGCTGGAGTGCAATGGTGAAATCTCAGCTCACTGCAACTTCCGCCTCCCAGGTTCAGATGATTCTCCTGACTCAGCCTCCCGAGTAACTGGGATTACAGACACCCAGCATCATGCCTGGCTAATTTTTGTATTTTTAGTAGAGATGGGGTTTCACCATATTTGCCAGGCTGGTCTTGAACTCCTGACCTCAGGTGATCCGCCCGCGTTGGCCTCCCAAAGTGCTGGGATTACAGGCGTGAGCCACTGCGCCCGGCCCATATTTAACACTTCTATAAATATTTGTGCATATTGAAAGGAACATTACTCCCCACACTGCAACTGAACAAATGAGTGATAATGTTAATTTCCTTATTCTTGAGCTTTTCTTGAATAAAAGAGGGTCGTAGGACATGGAACAAAATAGACTAGAAAATAGGGTTGATAAGGTACTGATTCTGCCAACACTGCTTAATGCTCTCCCCAAGCAATTGTCTTTTAGATATGTTGATTTCCCAGTGTGAATGGTATTTTTTAAATATGTCAAGCAATTAAGAATATAAGTCTATTCTCATCTCAGCTAAACGTAGAATCTTTACAAAGAATTTGTGGTATCCTTAACCCTAATATGTGGAGAGATATGATTAAAAATGTTCACCACCTTATTTTCATTTATTTATTTATTTATTTATTTATTTATTTATTTATTTATTATTTTGAGACAGAGCCTCACTCCACCCAGACTGGAGTGCTGTGGTGTGACCTCGGCTCATTGCAACCTCTGCCTCCCAAGTTCAAGTGATTCTCCTGCCTCAGCCTCTCAAGTAGCTAGAATTATAGGAATTCACCGCCATGCCCAACTAATTTTTCTTTTTTTTTTTTTTTTGGTGAGACAGAGTCTCACTCTGTTGCCTAGGCTAGAGGGCAGTGGCACCGTTTTGGCTCACTGCAGCCTCCGCCTTCTGGGTTCAAGCAATTCTCCTGCCTCAGCCTCCTGAGTAGCTGGGATTACAGGCACCCGCTACCACACCCGGATAATTTTTTGTATTTTTCGCCATGTTGGCCAGGTTAGTATTGAACTCCTGACCTCAAGTGATCTGCCTGACTCGGCCTCCCAAAGTGCTGGGATTACAGATGTGAGCTACCACATCCAGCCATCACCTCTTGTAAAGTGCAATAAAGAAATAGTGGGCAATAGACAGGCAGGGGATAGAGGAAAATGTTTTGGGAGTGGGACAATATGAACTTATTGTCATGACAGGACCAAAAAGGGAAGACGTCTGCCTATCATAATTAATACTAACTCTATCAGTCAACATTTATGTTTTACAATTGTTCTGTAAAAGAAAAGCCAGCAAACATTACAGATTCTAGTCCCTAATAACTGATCAAGAAAGACACTCTAAGCTTGTGCATCAGCATTCTCTTTTTATCTAAAAGAAAATATATTAAATACAGGGAGGAATGGCAGGAGTAAAGAGACTTGAAGGAAAAGAAAATATTGACTTTTTAATGATATTTTACAATGCTAAGATCTTTAGAAACCAACTATTCCATATGTCCTTTAAATATTAGTTTGGTGCAAAGGTAATTACAGTTTTTGTCATAAAAGTAATGGCAAAACTACAATTACTTTTGCACCAACCTAACTGATACATTCATTCCATTTTGGAGGTATTGCAAATATGCTGAATCAATGAATTTCTTCAGTATTTTTCATTGTATTAGTACAAATTTAACCTAATAGTATTCTTCTGCATGTTATTTCCCTTTGTGCTTCCTTTAATGCAATGAAGTTGTAGTTACCAAATAGAGTGCCCTAAAAGGGCAAGGCTTGTCTGTGAATTGAGCCTAGCATAGAATTGGCTCTCAGTGAAGATCTGCTGAACGTTACATGAATGCATCAACGTCATAATCCTTCATGTGCTTGTAAGCAATTAGTAAAATTTTCTCTGGCCTATTCAGGCCTGTGTTCTTCAAAATTCTTCAAAATATATGGACGTGTTTGCTGTTTCTATTAGGTTTTAACTTCTGGTATCAGAAACCAGGGCTGTTTTTCTTAATTTGTGTCCTAAAACTACAGTAGGGTTGTATGCATTGTGATAATGCTTAATAAATATATAAAAAGATTAATATCCATTCATTTACATTTTCTTAATCAAACCCAATTTCTGGAGGAGTAGCTGTGAAACTCTCAACTGGACGAGCTCTGACTAGTGTTAAGTATAGGATATTGGGAAAAGGGCTTCTATATGCAACATATATGTGAGGCAAATGAGAAATATTAGCTGGGCTACATTAAATCCCAATGACATGAATAGAAATTTTATTATCCAGGTAGCAAAAATGAAGTCAAAAAAATAAATAAGAGAATGAAGTAAAGGTATGGGGCAAAACAATTAGCTTTTTCTTTAAGTCAATATTTTAGAAAATAGCTTTTGAAGGCCCAATCACACAGAAAATTGACACTTTGACTTTTCTTTGCACTGTGTTAGACATAGGTAAAAGGATGTCTCAGCACTGTACCTTCATGTAGAAAATGTAATTAATACCAAATTACATAAAAGTACACTAAAATTTTAATTCTTACATCATTTTAATAAATTTCTTGAGATTTTACTTTATTTAGTGTGTCATTAAAACACAGGATTTAAGGAAGATATATATAATAAAGGAAAATGGTAAGTTACCATTCTTGTGTAAACACGTTTTGTAAATACTATTTCAACAAAGATTTAAAAGTTAATTACAAAGGTATAAAGTTATGAAGTATTATATAAACAGGATTCATAATTTTGTTTTAAATGGTCTTTTCATGTATCAAAATACTATCAGTTTAAAACAACCTTTTATTTTAAGGCAGTAGGCTCTGTTTACCATCATTTACAATTGCTTTAATTAGAATTTTCTTCACTTTCAGTATATTCAAGAGCTATTCTGTTGGCCATAATTTTTAAGATAAAGTTTATCCAAATAGAAAAGTAATTATATAATGATTAAGTGCCAGAATGTGTGGGTTCAAATTCCAGTTCTGCTACTTATCAGGTATAAGAATTTGGGCAAATTTCTTAGTTTCTCTGTGCTTCAGTTTCCTGATCTGTAAAACTGGGATAACAAGACTACCTGCCTCAATCTGCGGTTATGAGTAAATGAGTTAATACATAAGAGCAATGCAATAATCCTTGGCATGTGGTATGCGTTCAATAAACATTAGCTATTATTATTATAGTAAATTAGAAATTTAATTCTAGAGAATAAAAAGCTGAACTCAAATATGTAACTATTTATTCGATACAGGCACATTTTCCACAAAATAAAAAACCGTCAGTTTGCACTTGCCTTATATAATGACTATTCTGGTGTTTGTGTGTATCTCTTGTGGGTCGGGGGTCTTGGGCTGAGTAAATAATCACATTAAAAATTTTAAAGACTTCCGATTAAAACAGAAATAAGAACAAATGGCCATTCGTGGATCATTTGCAAAGCTGAACGAATACTTGACATGTCTTTCTGTGATTCCTTGCAGATATCATGGAAATCAGGACAGTGGCAGTTCGGATTGTGGCAATCAAAGGGGTGGAAAGTGAATTCTATCTTGCAATGAACGAGGAAGGAAAACTCTATGCAAAGGTATTGATAATTGATAGCTTAGGCTTAATTTTTAAAACTCATTTTTGTTGAAATATCTCACCATTCTGAAAAGTAAACATGGACTTAATCTATCTCCAACTGTATAATTTAATGATTTTATTAAAACACTTTATACTCAAATGTTAAGAAAAAATGTTTTCTGTGTGACTTTGGACAAATGGCTTGTTCTTTGGATTCTGGTTTCTTCATCTGTAAAATGAGTTGAATTAGCTGACCTCTAAGGAGCCTTCCAGCTCTAACATTCCATGTGCATTTTAGATATTTAAAATCCAAAATTTCCATTTGCCAGTATTAAAGCTCTTTTTGCTAAAGTTCACCCAATTTGCACATTGCTGACATGAAAATTCTTGGGAAAAAATCTTGAAATGTTTAGTTCATTCATCAACATCAATCTCACAATCATGGGCTTTGAACTGTAATTATTCACATTGTTCCCACTTCACTACAATGCAAAATATGTAACAGTTCATCCCACTGTAATAAAATATAATTGGCTTTCCTTTGTATTCCCACAGCTCAGCATAATGCCTGGAACAGGCTAATTATATAATGATACAGGTTTAATTGAATGAACAAATGGTTGCATGGATGAACAAACAAATTAACCTTTTATCTTCCATTACCACTGAAGACAGTGTACAAGTAAATAAAGAAAAGTTGTGAAACAAGTCTCTCACCTGAGGGAGGCAGAGGTTCTGCTAATTCTACCAAATTTCCAGTGGTTAAAGAATGAGTGATGTGGGAAGAGTAATTTGAGGCCTGTTACTTAGGGGGAAATAGGTCCTAATTTTAAAGAATAGTTGACATGAACTTCCAAAAAGCTACACATATTTCACACTAGCTGTGCATTATGTGGTGTCTTTATTTCAAATTTAAGATACCTTTTTATGCAAATATACTACATAAGTCTAGCTAATAAACCACATTAGGCCTGCTCAATCTGAGGGTTAAAAAAAGTTGTGTATGTTTCAATTCTACCAAATATTGCTGCTTACTCTTCGTTTAATTGAGCCTCTCTAAAAATCATTTGGATAATGTTTGTGTGTTTGTTTGTTTGTTTGAACAGAAAGAATGCAATGAAGATTGTAACTTCAAAGAACTAATTCTGGAAAACCATTACAACACATATGCAGCAGCTAAATGGACACACAATGGAGGGGAAATGTTTGTTGCCTTAAATCAAAAGGGGATTCCTGTAAGAGGAAAAAAAACGAAGAAAGAACAAAAAACAGCCCACTTTCTTCCTATGGCAATAACTTAATTGCATATGGTATATAAAGAACCAGTTCCAGTAGGGAGATTTCTTTAAGTGGACTGTTTTCTTTCTTCTCAAAATTTTCTTTCCTTTTATTTTTTAGTAATCAAGAAAGGCTGGAAAACTACTGAAAAACTGATCAAGCTTGACTTGTGCATTTATGTTTGTTTTAAGACACTGCATTAAAGAAAGATTTGAAAAGTATACACAAAAATCAGATTTAGTAACTAAAGGTTGTACAAAATTGTAAAACTGGTTGTACAATCATGATGTTAGTAATAGTAATTTTTTTCTTAAATTAATTTACCCTTAAGAGTATGTTAGATTTGATTATCTGATAATGATTATTTAAATATTCCTATCTGCTTATAAAATGGCTGCTATAATAATAATAATGCAGATGATGTTATATAAGGTGTATCAGACCTACAGGCTGCTGGCAGGATTTGTCAGATAATCAAGCCACACTAACTATAGAAAATGAGCAGCATTTTAAATGCTTTCTAGTGAAAAATTATAATCTACTTAAACTCTAATCAGAAAAAAAGAATATTCTCAAAAAAATCTATTACGAAAGTCAATAAAATAGATAATTTAACAAAAGTACAGGATTAGAACATGCTTATACCTATTAACAAGAACAAAATTTCTAATGCTGCTCAAGTGGAAAGGGTATTGCTAAAAGGATGTTTCCAAAAATCTTGTATATAAGATAGCAACAGTGATTGATGATAATACTGTACTTCATCTTACTTGCCACAAAATAACATTTTATAATTTCTCAAAGTAAAATTGAGAAATCTTTAAGTTTTTTTCAAGTAACATAATCTATCTTTGTATAATTCGTATTTGGGAATATGGCTTTTAATAATGTTCTTCCCACAAATAATCATGCTTTTTTCCTATGGTTACAGCATTAAACTATATTTTAAGTTGTTTTTGAACTTTATTATTTTGTTATTTAAGTTTATTTTATTTATTAAAAAAACCTTAATAAGCTGTATCTGTTTCATATGCTTTTAATTTTAAAGGAATAACAAAACTGTCTGGCTCAACTGCAAGTTTCCCTCCCCTCTGTGACCGAGACTAAGTCTAGCACACAGCACTTGGGCCAGCAAATCCTGGAAGGCAGACAAAAATGAGAACCTGAAGCAATGCTTACAGTAGATGTCTCACACAGAACAATACAAACATGTAAAAAATCTTTCACCACATATTCTTGCCAATTAATTGGATCATATAAGTAAAATCATTACAAATATAAGTATTTACAGGATTTAAAAGTTAGAATATATTTGAATGCATAGGTAGAAAAGTATCATATTTTAAAACTATGTATATTTAAATTTAGTAATTTTCTAATCTCTAGAAATCTCTGCTGTTCAAAAGGTGGCAGCACTGAAAGTTGTTTTCCTGTTAGATGGCAAGAGCACAATGCCCAAAACAGAAGATACAGTTAGGAATAAGGGGCCTTGAATGTCATGAAGGCTTGAGGTCAGCTTACAGATAACAGGATTATTAAAAAGATGAATTTCCACTTCCAAAGTCTTTCATTGGCAGATCTTGGTAGCACTTTATATGTTCACCAATGGGAGGTCAACATTTATCTAATTTAAAAGCTATGCTAACCATTGTGGTTTTAATTTCAAAATATTTGTCATTCAAGTCCCTTTACATAAATAGTATTTGGTAATACATTTATAGATGAGGCTTATATGAAAAGGCTAGGTCAACAAACCAATAGATTCATTTAATTTTCCTGTGGTTGACCTATACGACCAGGATGTAGAAAACTAGAAAGAACTGCCCTTCCTCAGATATACTCTTGGGAGAGAGCATGAATGGTATTCTGAACTATCACCTGATTCAAGGACTTTGTTAGCTAGGTTTTGAGGTCAGGCTTCAGTAACTGTAGTCTTGTGAGCATATTGAGGGCAGAGGAGGACTTAGTTTTTCATATGTGTTTCCTTAGTGCCTAGCAGACTATCTGTTCATAATCAGTTTTCAGTGTGAATTCACTGAATGTTTATAGACAAAAGAAAATACATAATAAAACTAATCTTCATTTTAAAAGGGTAAAACATGACTACACAGAAATTTAAATAGAAATAGTGTATATACATATAAAATACAAGCTATGTTAGGACCAAATCTCTTTGTCTATGGAGTTATACTTCCATCAAATTACATAGCAATGCTGAATTAGGCAAAACCAATATTTAGTGGTAAATCCATTCCTGGTAGTATAAGTCACCTAAAAAAGACTTCCAGAAATATGTACTTTAATTATTAGTTTTTCTCCTATTTTAAAATTTATTATGCAAATTTTAGAAAATAAAATTTGCTCCAGTTACACCCACTTAGAATTCCAGAATCTTAAAACTGTAAGGGGCCTCCATCCCTCTTACTCATTTGTAGTCTAGGAAATCGAGATTTTGATACACCTAAGGTCAAGCAGCTGAGTAGATATACAACTGTCACAAGAGTCTAGATCAGTTGGCACATGCTTTCTATACTAGATTATTAGTATTATTAGCTAATGGTCTTCTGCATTTTTTTGTTTTTTTATTTCTATTGAGATATAGCCTTTACATTTGTACACAAATGTGACTATGTCTTGGCAATGCACTTCATACACAATGACTAATCTATACTGTGATGATTTGACTCAAAAGGAGAAAAGAAATTATGTAGTTTTCAATTCTGATTCCTATTCACCTTTTGTTTATGAATGGAAAGCTTTGTGCAAAATATACATATAAGCAGAGTAAGCCTTTTAAAAATGTTCTTTGAAAGATAAAATTAAATACATGAGTTTCTAACAATTAGAAAGGAAAAAATTAAAATATGAAATGATAACAAAAGTAAACAAAAGATACTTTCAAAGCAGTGAACAAAACATTTTGACATAAGCCATAATATAAATTATAATATAAAAATATAAAAACCATAGTATAAATTGTCAATCTTTGAGTTGGCTATGAATTCAATTTAATGACAGAAGAGAAGGGATGCTGGAGGTAAATTCTTAGAGTTTCTATCTCATAGAGTTTGCTCTTCTGATTCTCTAGACTGCCAAAGAACATAAAGATGTACAAGGGGACCTAGCTGTAGTAAAAGCATTGCTATAACAACAAAAACTCTAAAACAGTGCCCCTCACGATTTTCTACTGAAATTTCTCTAACAGTAGAGGTATAAAACAAGAAGTTAGAGAATAATGCAGAAGGGGCCCACCACAGAAATCACATTTCTTTTCTGTTAAGACTCATGTGATTTTTGCATCTTACTCCATAATGTATTAGTGGTTGCGTTAATATGACAATGTCTGCAATTAAACACCAGTAAGCAAAATCGATACATCAGAATGACTTGCAGGGCTTATCATGCAGTTTCATTTACATCCCTATCCCACTGCCATTTACTTGAGCGTGAATGACACACGGGAGATTCTTTGCCTTCCATGATCCAACTTTACACATAAATAACACAAGGCTAAAGAAAACCAGAACTCAAATTCACCATGCATAGGAGTGATAACAAAAATATTTAACAGTCAGTATGGGTGATTACTGGCCAATCAGAATACGTCACTGATATATCAAAATGGATGCAGGCCACTGTGACTAACTTGTGGGTATCATTTCTATGATCACCCTAAAACAGAGTTGGGAAAATATCAATTAACTGGTCTCTCTGGTTTGAATTCTCAATATGTATCTTAATATGAAATAGCTCATTAAAACTTCATGTGTAACTATTTCAGCATTGTTGTCAGCTACTCTTTATTCCACTTCTGTACAGTATTTATTCAACCAAGCTGCTGCTTTCAATGAAGGTCACTTGTTCCTTCAGGGACACATGTACTCCCACCTATCCTTTAATTTTGAATGGTTTGTCAAGAAAATTTACTTTCTCTTGAGTTGAAAAGACTTGACAGGAAGCAAGAAATAATACGGTCCTAGCCTCTTTCCAGTAACATCTGATTTCTCCATTCTCAAACTACACTTCTCAGGGAACCAGATATTTACTCTCGTCTGGGAAGATGCCTCTTATGTTTTCCTTTTACTTCCTGGTTATCATGTGGTTGCATTTTCCAAGTTCTTATCATTGAATTTATGAGAGCCTATCCAAATTTATTTTCTTTTATTTTCTAATAATTGAAATGTGAGATGAAAATAACATTTCACTTATGAAAAACGCTTCTCTTGATGAATCCTTCCATGTGTTAGTTATCTATTGCTCTGTAACAAAGGTGTTAGTTATCTATTGCTGTGTAACAAATTAAAACTTAATGGCTTGAAACAAATATTTGTTTTCTCATAGTTTATGTGGCTCAGGAGCCTGGACGTGGTTCAGCACAGTGTTTTTGGTCAGAATTCCTCATGAGGCTGCAATCAAGGTGTAGACCAGGGCTGTTAGTCATCTATCTCAATATTCAACTCAGAAAGGGATCCACCTTAGATCCTCACTGGCTCTTATCAGGACCTATCACTTCCTTACCACATGGACCTCTCCATAGCATTGCTTACAACATTACAGTCTGTTTCCCACGGAGCAAGAAATCAGAGAGTGTGAGATAAAGTACCCAAAATGGAAGCCACAGGTTTGTTTGTTTGTTTTAATATATATAACCTAGTTTCAAAAGTGATGTTACCTCTGCCTACACTCATGAGGAGGGTATTATACAAGGGCATACATACCAGAAAGCAGGGATCACTGGAAGTCATTTTACAGGCTGCCTAATCCAAGTCATGAACTAGATGTTTTTAATGTCACTGCCATAAACTGGGATCCTACAGGGTCTAATGAGAGTAATTAATTCATGGCTTTCAGTGGGGATCCATTCAGCAGAGAAAGAGATGAAATATGTGTATTCTCTGTGGAAACACTCTTGATTCTTCCTTGAGGGATACTGCGTGGTCCATTCCTACACAGGATAATTAAGAAAAGGTTTGAACCAATCTGGACTTCCTATTAGCCTGAGATGTGGCTACTTAGAACTCCCAATGTAGCTGGAAAACTAACAATATCCCTTTGCCTCCACATGAAGCAAATTACCCTGCCATCAGACTCAACATGAAGATAATCCTCCCTTCAGCTGCTCTACCTCAAGAGAAAAAGATCATAGATGCCAGCTGGAATTCCTCTGGGCCATAGAGTGTTTTATTCTAGATGCTGAAGGCAATCAGCCACCATTTACCCAAGACCATCTGAGAATAAGACCTAAAAAGACTTGAAAACAATTGATTTCAATGGTAGGTACACACTGGTATCCCCTGTTCTGTATATATCTACAGATACTTAGATATATACAAAACAGGATATATATATATATATAGAGAGAGAGAGAGAGAGAGAGAGAAACAGAGAGAGAGAGAGAGAGAGAGAGACCTAGGCCCCAACTCAAGCCAATTACATCAGTGTATATGACAGGTGGCCCATGCAGTCGTATTTTAAAAATTCCCCAGAATATTCTAATGTGCCTCTGCAGTTGAGAACTAATTAGGTAAATGCAAACAACAACAAAGACCAAAAAATGTCTTCAGAAACTATGCCTGCTTCTTCATCTTTGTCTCTTCTTTAAACACCTTGAAAGGCCTTATTCCCTCCCAGCCCCTCCTGCCCCTAGGTTTTCCTAGATGCCTCCGTATTTTCTGCTATGCACAACTGGAGCTCACAGGAAATGTAGGCACTAGAAGGAGAGTTACAATTGTTTTTGCATCAGAATGATTATGGAATAGAAAAAGGCATTTCATGCAAATGGACACCAAAAGCGAGCAGCGGTAGCTATTCTCATATGAGACAAAACAAACTTTAAAGCAACAGTAGCTAAAGTAGACAAGGACAGACAGTATATAATGGTAAAGGTCTCATCCAACAGAAAAATATGACAATCCTAAACATACATGAACCTAACACCGGAGCTCACAAATTTATAAAACAATTACTAGTAGACATAAGAAATGAGATAGACAGCAACACGATAATAGTGGGGGACTTCAATACTCCACTGACAGCACTAGACAGGTCATCAAGAGAGAAAGTCAACAAAGAAACACTGGATTTAAACTATACTTTGGAACAAATGGACTTAACAGATACATACAGAACATTTCATCCAACAACCACAGAATACACATTCTATTCAACAGCACATGGAATTTTCTCCAAGATAGACCACATGATAGGTCATAAAATGAGTCTCAGTAAATTGAAGAAAATTGAAATTGTATCATGCACTCTCTCAGATCACAGTGGAATAAAACTGAAAATCAACTCCAAAAGGAATCTTCAAAACCATGCAAATACATGGAATTTAAATAACCTGCTCCTGAATGAGCATTGGGTGAAAAACAAAATCAAGATGGAAATGTAAAAAATTTCTTCAAACTGGATGACACAACCTATCAAGACCTCTGGGAAACAGCAAAGGCAATGCTAAGGGGAAAGTTTGTAGCCCTAAACACCGACGTCAAAAAGTCTGAAAGAGCACAAACAGACAATCTAAGTTCACATCTCAGGGAACTAGAGAAACAGGAACAAGCCAAACCCAATCCCAGCAAACAAAGGAAATAACCAAGATCAGAGCAGAACTAAATGAAATTGACACAACAACAACAACAAAAAATACAAAACATAAAAGAAAAAGTTGGTTATTTGAAAAGATAAATAAAATTCATAGACCATTAGCAAGATTAACCAAGAAGAGAGAAAATCCAAATAACCTCACTAAGAAATGAAACAGGGGATATTACAACTGACACCACTGAAATATTAAAGGTTATTCAAGGGTACTATGAACACCTTTTGGCACATAAACTAGAAAACCTAGAAGAGTTGGATAAATTCCTGGAAAAATACAACCCTCCTAGCTTAAATCAGGAAGAATTAGATACCCCAAGCAGACCAATAAAGCAAGCAGCAAGATTGAAATGGTAATTTTAAAATTGCCAACAAAAAAAGCCGAAGACCAGACAGATTCACAGCAGAACTCTACCAGACTTCAAAGAATGTCTTCCTTCATTCAAAGAAGAAATGATACCAATCCTTTCACACTATTCCACAAGACAGAGAAAGAAGAAACCCTCCCTGATTCATTCTATGAAGCCAGCATCACCCTAATACCAAAACCATGAAAGGACATAACCAAAAAAGAAAACTACAGACCAATATCCTTGATGAACACAGATGCCAAAATCCTTAACAAAATACTATCTAACTGAATCTGACAACATATCAAAAAGATAATCCAACATGATCAAGTGGGTTTCATACCAGTGATACAGGAATGGTTTAACATATGCAAATCAATAAATGTGATACACCAAATAAACAGAATTTAAAAAACTCACACGATTATATCAACAGATGCAGAAAAAGCATTTGACAAAATCTAGCATTGCTTTATGATTAAAGCTCTCAGCAAAATAGGCATACAAGGGACATACCTTAATGTAATAAAAGCCATCTATGACAAACCCACAGCCAACATAACACTGAATGGGGAAAAGGTGAAAGCATTCCCTTTGAGAACTGAAACAAGACGAGGAGCCTACTCTCACTACTCCTCTTCAACAAAGTACTGGAAGTCCTAGCCAGAGCAATCAGACAAAAGAAGGAAATAGAGGAAATCCAAATCGGTAAAGAGGAAGTCAGACTGTCACTGGTTGCTGACGATATGATCTTTCGCCTTGAAAACCCTACGGACTCCTCTAGAAAGCTCCTAGAACTGATAAAAGAATTCAGCAAAGTTTCCAGATACAAGATTAACAGACACAAGGCAGCAGCTCTTCTATACATCAACAGCTACCAAGCAGAGAATCACATCAAGAACTCAACCCCTTTTACAATAGCTGCAACAAACAAACAAACAAACAAAAAACAAAACTTAGGAATATACCTAGCAAAGGAATCAAAAGACCTCTACAATGAAAATTACAAAACACTGCTGAAAGAAATCATGGATGGAGCCAAGCACGGTGGCGCATGCCTATAATCCCAGCTACTCGGGAAGCTGAGACAGGAGAATCGCTTGAACCTGGGAGGCAGAAGTTGTAGTGAGCCGAGATCACACCATTGCACTCCCACCTCAGCGACAAGACTGAAACTCCCTCTGGAAAAAAAAAAAAAACACAAGAAAGAAAAGAAATCATAGACGATACAAACAAATGGAAATGCATCCCCATGCTCATGGATGGGTAGAACCAATATTGTGAAATTTACCATTCTGTTAAAAGCAATCTACAAATTCAATGCAATCCCCATCTGAATACCACCGTCATTCTTCACAGAATTACAAAAACAATTCTAAAATTAATATGGAACCAAAAGAGAGCCATGTAGCCAAACCAAGGCTAAGCAAAAAGAACAAACCTGGAGGCATCACACTACTTGATTTCAAACTGTACAATAAGGCCATAGTTACCAAAACAGCATGGTACTGGTTTAAAAATAGGAACATAGACCAATGGAACAGAAGAGAGAACCCAGAAATTAACCCAAATACTTACAGCCAACTGATCTTCGACAAAGTACACAAAAACATAAAGTGGGGAAAGGACACCTTTTCAACACATGATGATGTTGGGATAATTGGCGAGCCACATGTAGGGGAATAAAACTGGATTCTCATCTCTCACCTTATACAAAAATCTACTCAAGATGGATTAAGAACTTAAACCTAATTCCTGAACTATAAAAATTCTAGAAGTTAACACTGGATAAACCCTTCTAGACATTGGCATAGGCAAGGATTTCATGACCAAGAAGCCAAATGCAAATGCAATAAAAACAAAGATAAATAGCTGGGACTTAATTAAACTAAAGAGCTTTAGCATGGCAAAGGGAACAGTCAGCAGAGTAAATAGACAACCCACAGAGTGGGACCCCTGACCCTGACCCTGATCCCTGACCCTGACCCCTAACCCTGACCCCAACCCCTGATCCTAACCCTAACCTGTAACCCTAACCCCTAACCACAACCCTCACCCTAACCCAACCCTAACCCCTAATCCCAAACCACTAACCTCTCTTAACCCCTAACTCTAAACGTTGACTCCTAACCCCTAACTCTGACCCCAGCCCTTATTTCCAACCCCTAACCCTAAACTTAACCCCTAACCCCTAACCCTAACACCAACTTAACCCTAGGTTCGTTACTACGTTTGTATTGACTATGTCAATGTTGATTATTATGATCGCTGTCTTAGGACTGCAGGGCAGCGAGGGGATTGCGGATCTTATATTAATATTTTTGTATTGAGGCAGTGCATTAGCATTACAGGTGCTTGTTACATGAGCAATGGGGGTGTCATACTTTGGGTGTCATGTCTGCATTAGGAATGCCGCATTTGTCTTCCGAGGCTGCGGTGTGAATCTTGCACTGTGGCCGCCTCGCCTTGGCTGGGGAGAACCTCGGTGGGCAGGATTCAGAGGGGCTTTTGGTTTCCCGTTTTCCACACTGAACCCTTCTAACTGGTCTCTGACCCTGATTATTCAGGGCTGCAAACAGGAAGGATTTTATTCACCGTGGATGCAGCCCGGAGTTGTCCCAAAGCGAGGCAGTGCCCCCAAGGTCTGTGCTGAGGAGAACGCGGCTCTGCCTTCGCAGTGTCCCCCGGGCCTGTGCTGAGCAGAACGCCGCTCCGCCCTCGTGGAGACCCTGGCCCGCCCGGGTCTGTGCTGAGGAGAACACTGCTCCGCCACTGACCTCCAGCCTGGGCGACAGAGCGAGACTCCATCTCAAAAAAAAAAAAAAAACGATAACAACAAAAAATAAAAAAAAAACCCATAATAGTAGTGATAAGGCCGGGTATACAGATAAGGTACACAGATAAGAAAGGAAGTGATAGCGGGGCGCAGTGGCTCACGCCTGTAATCCCAGCACTTTGGGAGGCCGAAGCGGGCAGATCACGAGGTCAGGAGTTTGAGACCAGCCTGGCCAACACGGTGAAACCCCGTCTCTACTAAAAATACAAACATTAGCTGGGCGTGGTGGCGGGCGCCTGTAGTCTTCTCAGACACCCGACCACCGGCTCCTGAGCCGCGGCAACTCCCTGTCACCTTTTCACTGCCCCCAACCCAGCCCCAAATCCCCAATCCAGCCCCAAATCCCCGATCCATCTCCAAATCCCCGATCCAACCCCCAATCCGCGATCCAATCCCCAATCCGTGATCCCAAATCTGCGATCTAGCCCAGAATCCGCAATCCAGCCGGGTCCACCACAGCCTTCAGCAGCGACACTCGCAGCCTCTGACCTCTCAGACCCAGTGAGCCTCGCAAGGCCATTAGCAGCGCGCCTGCACCGCGGGGGCCGCCCGGCTCCCAGAAGCCGCTCCCAGCCGGTGCGCCGGCAAGCAGGGCTCCAGCCCAGGGCAGGCGCCGCTGGGCTCGCGGGTTCTCCTGAGCTGGTCCGGGCTGCCCCAGGACCACAGGGGCAGGATTGCAGGCGTGCAGCCTGCCCGGCCTCAGGAGGAGGGCCTGTCTGGCCGTGCGGCCCCACTTAATCTTAATAGCAAATAAAACTCAACAGTATGCTGTGGCATATTCTACAGTGATTCTACACAATTGTAGATTGCATTAGAATAATGTTTTTCTAAATTATTTTCTTGGTAACAAATGGACACTCGAAATTTTATTTATTTTAATTTCAATTTTTTTAAAAACAGAGTTTCACTCTTGTTGCCCAGGCTGGAGTGCAATGGCGCGATCTCGGCTCACTGCAACCTCCGTCTCCCAGGTACAAGTGATTTCTCCTGTCTCAGCCTCCCAAGTAGCTCCAATTACAGGCATGCGCCACCACAGCCGGCTATTTGTGTGTGTGTGTGTGTGTGTGTGTTTAGTAGAGATGGGGTTTCATCATGTTAGCCTGGTCGCAAACTCCTGACCTCAGGTGATCCACCTGCCTTGGCCTCCCAAAATGCTGGGATTACAGGAGTAAGCCACTGTGCCTGGGCAAAATTTTATTTTTTAATAATGCCAAGTGATTTCATTTTAAATTAAACTGCACCATAAATTGGATTATTTTCCTGCATGAGTACCTTGCTCTTCAAACAAAAACATTTTTTAAAGACCAAATATATTGCATACTTTTTTTAAAAAAAGCTCTGCCTGTGTGCATTGGCTTACGCCTGTAATCCCAACACTTTGTGGAGGCTGAGGGAGGAGGACTGTTTGAACCCAGGAGTTTGAGACTGGCCTGGGCAACACAGTGAGACACTGGCTCTACAATAATCTTTCTTTAAAAGTTAGCCAGGTATGGTGGTGCACAGCCATGGTCCCAGACACTTGGGAGGTTGAGGTGGGAAGATAGCTTGATCTTGGGAAGCTGAGGCTGCAGTGAGCTATGATTGCACTCCAGCCTGGGTGACAGAGCAAGAACCTGTCTCAAAAAAATGTTCTTACTGTATAAGAAATTATGAATGACATTTATTTTATGTTAAAACAGTATATTTTATCTACAAAAGGAGTAAAAGACAGTAATAGAAAAATTGGCACATAAAGGAACACAAATGCTAAAAAAATTCAAATTTACCAATAATCCTATCACGTAAATTGATAATTTTTAATATAATTAAATGTAGGATTTTAAAATAAATTTCTTTTAATTTATTTATTTAAACATATAGATTATTTTTAGACCCTCTTCAGGCATCCCCTGTTGAATAAATTCCATGATTTACAGGCCTACTCTCTCTATTGTTAAATATTGTATTGCTTTCAATGAACAATATTTTTTATAAACATTTCACAGAAACAAATCTGGGCACATTGAGACATGTTTTCTTTTCAAAAAGTCCTAGCACTTTAATTACTGTGTAAAGAGATATTAGTATATAATTTTCACACTTATTGACTAACATCCCTGCAAAATGTTGAATCAATTTATACTTTCAGCACCAATCGGCAAATTAATGTCCATTATGCTTTTGCTTCACCAAAACTGATACTTATATTTTATTTTGCTAGACAAAAATACATATTATCTTAATTTGCATAACTGTAATTAATAGAAAGGTTAAATTTTTTTCAGATGTATCATAGGTCATCACTTTTTCTTGAGTCTGGTGGGTGCTTAGTTCCTTTAAAGCATTAATCATGTATACATTAATTTTATGTGCAAAACAATCATTAAGTACAATTTGAAATATGGAAAAATAAATAGCTGGATTAAGAAAAAAACAAATAGAGCTTCTGGAATTAAAACATTCACTAATGGAATTTCAAAACACAGTTGGAATCTTTAACAATAAACTAGACTAAGCAGAAGAAATAATTTTAGATTTTGAAAACTGGTCTTTCAAAGTAACCCAGTCAGACAAAAATAAAAGAAAAAAGAACTGAAAAACAAAGCCCTTAAGAAATATGAGATTATGTAAAGTGACCAAACTTATAACTTATTGGCATTACTACAACAGAAGAATAAAAAGCAACCAACTAGGAAAGTATATTTAAGGGAATAATTTAGGAAAATTTCGCTAGTCTTGCTAGAAAGGTTGATATTCAGATATAAGAAATTCAGAGAACACCTGTGGCATAGTAAACAAGATGCCCATTCCTAAGGCATCCACAGTCATTAGAATAGCCGTGGTCAATGCAAAAGAAAATATATTAAAGGCAGCTCAAAGAAAGGGCCAAATTACCTATGAAGTAAATTAGATTAACAACAGACTTATCAGCAGAAACCCTGCAACCTAGAAAAGATTGGGGCCTAGTGTTAGCCTTCTTAAAGAAAAAAAAAATGCCATCCAATAATTTCTTTTTTTTGGAGACAGAGTCTCACTTTGCCACCCAGGCTGGAGTGCAGTGGTGTGATCTCAGCTCACTGCAACCTCCGCTTCCTGGGTTCAAGCAATTCTCCTGCCTCAGCCTCCCCAGTAGCTGAGATTACAGATTTCCGCCACCACGCCTGGCAAATTCTAATTTTTAATAGAGATGGAGTTTCTTCATATTGGCCAGGCTGGTCTTGAACTCCTGACCTCAGGTGATCTGCCTGCCTCAGCCTCCCAAAGTGCTAGGGTTACAGGCATGAGCCACTGCACCCAGCCACGCAAGAATTTCATAACCTGCCAGACTGAGCTTCATAAAGAAAGGAAAATAAGGTATTTCCAGACGAGAAAATGTTAAGGGAAGTCATTACCTCCAGACTGACTCTAAAAGAAATGTTTAAAGGAGTTTCACTAGTGAAAATAAAAGAATGATACTTGCTACCATAAAAGCATACATGAATACAAAATGTACGGAACCTATAAAGCAATTAAACAATTGAGACTACAAGGTAACTAGCTAATGCTATAAAAGGAAGAAAACCTAACACATCAATATTAAGCTTGAGTGCAAATGGCTGAAATGCTCCACTTAAAAGACACAGAGTGGCAAACTGAATAAAAAAACAAGACACTTCTGCTGCCTTTGAGAGACCCATCTCATGTGTAATGATACCAACAGGCTCAAAGTAAATGGATGGAAAAAGATTCATCACATAAATGAAAAACAAAAACAGAGAGGTATTGCTATTCTTGTATCAGATAAAACAGACATTAAACTAACAACAGTACAAAAAAAATACAAAGAATGGCATTATATAATGATAAAGTGTTCAATTCAACAAGAAGACTTAACTGTCTCAAATATATATGCAGCCTACATTGAAGCAACCGGATTTTTAGAATAAATATTACTAGACCTAAGAAAAGAGATACACAGCTGTACAATAATCATGGAGGACTTCAACACCCCACCGACAGTAGTAAGCAGATTATTAGTTAGGCAGATTATTAGGCAGAAAACTAACAATGAAACTGTGGACTCAAATTGGGCTCTTGACCAAACAGACCTAATAGATATCTACAGAATACTCTACCCAGAAACCACAGAATGTACATTTTTCTCATTTGCACATGGAACATTCCCTAAAATTGACCACATGCTCAGTCATAAAATAAGCCTCAATAAATTTTTAAAAGTCATAACTATATTAAGTATCTTCTCAGACCACTGTGGAATAAAATTAGAAGTCAATATCAAGAACTCTCAGAACCACAGAGGTACATGGAAACTAAACAATCTGCTCCTTAATGACTTTTGTGTAAATAACAGAATTAAGGCAGAAATTTAAAGAAATTCCTGAAACAAATGAAAATAGAAACGTAACATACCAAAACGTCTGGGATACAGAAAAAACAATGTTAAGAGGAGAGTTTATAACACTAAATGCCTACATAAAAAGAGAGAAAGATCTCAAATTAACAAGCTAAAATAGCCAAACACACTAAAAAAGAACAAACCAAACCCAAAGCTAGTAGAAGGAAATAACAAAAGTTAGAGAATAAGTTAATGAAATCGGGACCAAAAAAACCATACAAGGAATCAGCAAAATTAAAAAGTTGGTTCTTTGCAAGTACACATAAAAATGATAGATTGCTAGTTAGATTATGCAAGAAAAAAAGAAGATTCAAATAAGCACAGTCAAAAATGACAAATGAGACATTGCAAAGGATACCACCGACATAAAAAAAGATCCTCAGAATATCTTTGTGAGCATAAACTAGAAAACCTAGAGAAAACGGATAAATTCCTGCAAACACACCACCTTCCAAGACTGAATCAGAAAGAAACCAAAAGTCCACTAGGGCAGTGCCAATAGGAAATGTGGGATTGAAGCCTCCACACAGAGTCCCCACTGGGGCACTACCTACTGGAGCTGTGGGAATGGGGCCGCCACCTCGAGATCCCTGAATGGTAGAGCCACGGGAAGCTTTCATCCTGAGCCTAGAAATACCACAGGCACTCAACTCTGATCCAAGACAGCAGCCATGGTGACTGTGCACTGCAAAGCCACAGAGGCAGAGCTGCATAAGGTCTTGGGAATCCACCCCTTGCACAAGTGTGCCCTGGATGCAGGACATGAAATCAAGAATTATTTTGGAGCTTGAAAGTTTAATGTCTGCCCTACTGGGTTTCAGATTTGCCTGAGGCCTGTTGCCCCTTTCTTTTGCCCAACTTCTCCATTTAGGAATGGGAATATTTACCCAACACCTGTACTGCATTGAATATTGGAAGCAAATAACTTGGTTTTGATCTTATAGGCTCATAGATGGAGGAACATACCTTGAAGCTCAGATGAGACTTCGGACTTTTGAGTTGATGCTGAAACAGCTTGAGATTTTTAGGGACTACTGGGAGAGGATAATTGTGCAATATGAGAAGGACATGAGATTTGGGGGCCATAGGGGTGAAATGACATTGTTTGGATGTGTTTACCCTCCAAATTTCTTGTTGACTGTGATCTTAAATGTTGGTGGTGGGCCTAGTTGAAGGTGTTGAATCATGGGGGTGGACCCTTCATAAATTGCTTAGCTCCATCCCCTTGGCGATAAGCGAGTCCTTGCTCTGTTGTGTCACACGAGAGCTGGTTGTTTAAAACAGCCTGCCATGTTCCCCTTCTTGCTCTTGATTTCTCTCTTGACACGTGATACACTGGCCCTCCCTTTGCCTTCCTCTGTGATTGGATGCTTTCTGAGGTCTCATCCAAACCTGAGCAGGTGCTGGTCCCATGCTTCTACTGCCTGCACAACTATAAACCAAATAAATATTTTTTCTCTATAAATTTAAAAAAATCTGAACAGACCAGTAGTTAATTATGAAATTGAATTTGTAATAAAAATATTTATCAAGCAGGAGAAGCCCAGAACTAGATGAATTCACAGCTGAATTTTACCATACAAAAAAACAGATGGTATCAATCTTACTGCAACCATTCTAAAACATTGAGGAGAAGGAATTCCTCTCTAACTCATTCTACAAAACCAATATCATCCTGACACTAAAATCTAGCAAGGAAACAACAACAACAAACTACAGGCCAATAGCTGATGAACATAGATGCAAATATCCTCAACAAAATGCTAGCAAACCAAATCCATCAGCATATCAAAAATGTAACTCATCGTGATTACATAGGTTTTATTCCTGGGATGCAAGGACTATTTAACATATGCAAATCAATAAATGTGATTTACCACATAAACGGAATTTAAAACAAAAATCATATGATTATCTCAATAGATGCAGAAAAAAAATTCAACAAAATTCAACATCCTTGCCAGATGTGGTGGCTCACACCTGTAATCCCAGCACTTTGGAAGGCAGAGGTGGGCCAATCAACAGAGGTTGGGACCAGCCTGACCAACATGGAGAAACCCCATTTAGAACTAAAAATGCAAAATTAGCTGGGCGTTGTGGCGCATGCCTGTAATCCCAGCTACTCAGGAGGCTGAGGCAAAAGAATGGCTTGAACCCGGGAGGTGGAGGTGGCAGTGAGCCAAGATCACACCACTGCACTCCAGCCTGGGCAACAGAGCGAGACTCCATCTCAAAAAACCAAACCAAACCAAACCAAAGCAAAACAAAACAAAACAAAAAAACCCTGAAATCATATCAATTATTTTTTCTGACCGGAGTGGAAAAGTATTAAAAAATCAGTAACAGGAGGAATTTTTTTGCCGACCGTCTTTGGCTCCCTCTCTTGCCACCCTTTTTCTTCCTCCATCTACCCCAAAACTTTTTCCCCACCATTTTTTCCCCACTGTCTTTTTGCAAAGCCTTCTATACTTTACCACTCACTTCCGTTTTCCCCACCCATCTACTCCAAAACTTTTCCCCACCGTCTTTTCTCCCTCTCCCTGGCCACCCTTTTTTCCGCCTCCCGTTCTCATCATCCTCTTTTGCTCCTTCATCTCCCCAAAAACATTTCCCTCATCTTCTCCCAAAGCCTTCTCCCCACTCCTGCTGCTCGCCACCCTCTTTCCCCTTCCATCTACCCAAAAACTGTTTCCCTATTGTCTTTTTCTCCCTTCCTCCTTGCCACCCTTTCCCTTCTCCATCTACCCAAAAACATTTTCCCGCCGTCTTTTTGCAAAGCCTCTTCTCTACTCCTGCTCACCACGCTCTTTTAACCCATCTACCTCCCCAATTTTTCCCTGCCATCTTTTCACAAAGCCTTCCCTGCTTCCCGCTCGCCCTCTTCTTTCCTCTATCCTGCTTGCCACCCTCTTTTTGCCCTCCATCTACCCCAAACTATTTTCCCCATCGCCTTTTTCCCAGTCCTCTTTCCCCACTCCCTTTGGCCACACTTTCTATTCTCCTCCCACTTGCTACCCTCTTTTCCCCCTCCATCTACCCAAACACTTTTTACCCACTGTCTTTTCTTTCTACACTTTCTTTTCTGCCTATCGTCTTTTCGCAAAACCTTTTCTCTTTCCCACTCGCCACCCTCTTTATCTTTCTCCCAATGGCCACCCTCTTCCCCCCTCCATCTACCTAAAAGCTTCTCTCCTCACTGTCTTTTCGCAAAACCTTCTCTCCCTCCTGCTCGCCACTCTCTCTTCCCCCTCCCTCTCTGCACCCTCTTTTCTCCTCCCACTTGTCACCCTTTTCCCCCCTCCATCCACTCAAAATCTTTTTACCCACAGTCTTCTTTCCCTTTCTTTTCTCCCCACCGTATTTTTGCAAACCTTCTCTCCTTCCTGCTCATCCCTGTTCCCCCCTCACGACCCTCTCTTACCCCCTTCCATCTACCCAAAAACTTTTTCCCCACTGCCTTTCTGTGAAACCTTCTCTCCCTCCTGTTCACCACCCTGTTTTTCCCCCTCCATCTACCCCCCATTTTTTCCCCCCAACATCTTTTCCTTACTGTCTTTATGCAATGCCTTCTCCGGCTCACCATCCTTTTTTCCTTTTGGCACTAACCACCCTCTTTACCCTTCCATCTATCCCAAAAGTATTTTCCCCTTCTTACCGCTCCAGCCACACTACAGTCTCTGTCGCCACCAACTGCAGGGAGGCCAAGCCACAGTGCTGCAGGCTACAGCCTCCAGTCTGTCCTGGTCCTCTAAGCCGGGCTTGGAGCAGCTCAGTGAGCAGACACAGAAGAACCTGGAGTGGCCTGACTCTTCTTCAGCACCACTTATGTACTGAAGTTATGCATATGCCGTTCCTGGACTACACGTTCCAGGACTGGATAAGAGAAAGCCTGGAGGCCTACTCTGATTGGACTTTGTTATGTTCTGATTGGATGAAAGAAAGTCTTAGGACAACCAATCAGAGTATGAAAATAAAGTCCAATCAGAGAAGGCCTAGAGGTTTTCTCTCACCCAATCAGAACATGTAGTCCAGAAACCACCCACGTAACCCCATGTGCATGTTGAGGAGGCCTCACGCCAGTTTAGGCTCTCCAGTATCTCCTGCCGAGCTGCTCTGTTCCCGGCTTAGAGGACCAGGAGAAGGGGGAGCTGGAGGCTGGAGCCTGTAACACCATGGCTCGTCTCGCTCTGGATGGTGGTGGCAACAGAGATGGCAGCGCGGCTGAAGTCTTAGGAGGGCGGCCTGAGCGGTAGGAGGGTAGTCTGAGCAGTAGGAGGGGGGCTGGAGCAGTAAGATGGCGGCCGGAGCGCTAGGCGGGAGGCTGGAGCAGTAAGATGGCAGCCGGAGCGGTAGGGGGGTGGCTGGCAGCCGGAGCGGTAGGGGGGTGGCTGGCAGCTGGAGCTGCTCTTGACCAGCTAGAGGTCTAGGAGAAGGTGGGGACCATGCCCAATGCTGGCGGCTGGAGCCTTGGCCCTGGCGGCTCGCCTGGCTGCGGTTGGTGGTGGCGACGGAGACTGCATCTCTGTCAAGTAGTAGAAAGGTGGCAGGGTAGGTGCGCTCTCTGCGGCTGCACTGCCCGCTTGTGGGGTGGTGGGGGAGTGGGTTTGGTGTGCTTTTGGGGCTGCACTGCCTGCCGTGGGTGGCTGGTGGGTGGCGCTATCGGGTGTTGAATTGCTGGCAGTGGGGCAGGTTTGCTGCGCTATCAGGGTCTACACTGCCTAAGGTGGCGGGGGGTTGGAGGCAGGTTGTGTGTGCTGTCGTGCACTACCAGCGGCAAGTGGCGGGGGGTTAGGGGCATTATTAGCTGCTGCACTGGCCGATCCAGGGGGCGGGTTGGGTGAGCTATCGTGAGCTACAATGTCAGCAGCAATGCCAACTGGCAGGCAGTCGGGGGTGCTTTAGGGGAGCTGTCAAATGTTGCATTGTCCGTGGGGGAAAGGGGAAGGTGGGGTCGGGGGGTTGGTTGGGTGCACTACCCCTGGCGTTCACTGCCCGCGACAGGAGCAGATTGGGGGTGCTATCTGGGGCTGTGCTGCTTGTGGTCCGGGTGGGGGGCAGGTTTGATGGGGCACTATTTGGTGCTGCAACACCCGTGGTGGGGATGGGTTGTGGACACTATCGAGTGTTACACTGCCAGGAGCAGAGGGGTGGTTTGGGGGCGCTATCAGGGTTACACTGCCTGCAGCAGTCTCTGGGTGTGTTGTGTGCACAATCCAGGGGCTAAGTTTGTGGTGGGGGGGGGCAGGTTAGGGGCGCTATGGGGGGAGGTTGCACTTCTGCTGCCAGCAGCAGGTTGTGGAGGTGGCCACGACAGTGGTGGCCTCTGAGGAAGGGGCCCTTCTCCTCTTCCCGGACTCAAGGCTCTAGAGGGTGAACAATTTCTGCTCGTGTTGGAGCACGGAGGGTGCACAGAGTTTTCGCAGCAATCCTCTGACCACCGCAGGGCCCTCACACCCACCATGGTTACCCAGCCCTTGCCCTCTTGCTCTGTGTTGTGGAGACTATCTGGGAGCCCCAGGCATGGAGTAGTGGGCACCACGGAGGCTCAGGGTCCTGTGGGTGGAGGATTCAGGAATGGGAACTGGTACTTGGGTGGGGAAGACTGGCTGGGTCTGAGTTTCTGCTATTCTTGCTCCCCAAGGAGCCCCGGGCACTGTGGTGTCTCCAGTCCCCACCCCAGGTCAGGAGGCCAGCTTGGTCTAGGAGGAGAGGCTGGACTTTGGAGGGTGGGTGTGAGTGCCTTTGCTGAAACTGGCCCCAGCCACCCAGTGGCCAGCATGACAAGGTGAGGCTCTAACACTGCCACTTTCTGCATCCTGTTGTAGGTTTTTCTGGCATTGTCTGCCCAGCTACTCCAAGCCAGGCTGATGAAGGAGGAGTCCCCTGTGGTGACTGGAGGTTGGAGCCTGAAGATGGCACAGCTCTGTGATTCATCTCCTGCTGTTGTGGCGGCCACGGTGATGGAGACGGCAGCTCAACAGGAGCGGTAGGAGGGTACCCGTGGAGGCCAAGTGGTAGGAGCCTTGGAGGGTGGGCAGGTGCATGGAGGGTGACAGCAGCGCTGGTTCCTTTGGCATCGGCGCTAATGGTGGCAGCAGCAGCAAGTCTAGGGGCCAGGAAGGGGGAGTAGGAGAGCTTTGGGGCCCGGTCCGGCCTGGGGTGGGTAAGAAGCTGCTGGTTCTGTACCACAGGCCTCAGTGACAGTGGTGGAGGTGCAGCCAGAGCAAGGAGTCCGCCCCCTTCTCCTGCGGTCTCTGGTGGGTGCCCTCCTGCTGGCATCTGAGCCAGGTGTGAGTGGCAGCACTGTTTCATTCTTAACAGAATTTAGGGGCTTACTATTGTGTATCTTTTTGTTTTTGGTTGTGATAACCCTTAAAGGACAAAAGGCTTCTTTGGCTGGGTTTTGGTGTGGTGGGATCCCCCCATGTAAGACAAAGGGTGCTTTGCTGGCAAGCTGTGTGTTGGAGGGAGTTCACCAAGGGGAAGAAAGGGAACCTCTCAGGAGGATGGCTGCTGTGGCAGGTCCCCTGCCTCTGGGCACCCTTTGGGCCACCTAGTTTCCCTGCGGAAGAGGGGAGGCTTAGACCGGTATCACTTGTATCATCAAAGAGGCATCCTGGCTGGGCCAGTTGATTTGACCTTCCCACTTCTTCAGCCCACCTGCCCATGGTGTCACCTGGGGAAAGTGGAACCTCAGGCCACAGGGGCAGAGGCTTCTCTGGCAGGCTGATTGCTGTAGTGGATTCTGTTCTGCCTGCTGCTCAGGAGGGCTTCTATGGCCAGGAAGTGATGCTGGGACTCTCCTGTTGGTGTTCTGCTGCCTCCGTGTTGTCTCCGGCTTCTCAGGGACTCTCAGATGTGTGAAGGCAAAAAGGTTTCCTGGCTAGTTTGCGTGGTGTGGTTGGGATCACTTTTGCTACATGCCCCTCAGGCACCCTAGTGGGGGAAAAGGGAATTTTAGATTTAATGGAGAATGTGTCTATGTTGGCTGCTTATTGTTAGCAAACTTCTGAACAATTCTATTCTAAATGGTCACCTCTTGTTGAGTAGACTCCAGCTCCATTGGAGAAGAGATGAACTTACCTGGGCTGTGTTTTCTTGCTAGCTTGAGGGTTGAAAACACTAGGTTTTTTTCTCCTTTTCCAGTTGAGTTAGGGAAGTGACATGCATTGCCACAAAACCATTCTTTCAGTTCTGGAGTCCTTAGACAGTCATCTTACTAGCACCTTCCAGCATTCTCCTTTCAGTGAGCTAATAAGGGAGGGTTCCTAATCTAAAAGGAAACATGGATGGTGTTCTTATGTTGTATGACAAGAAATACGAAATAATTCTGAAAAATTTAGTCATTTTTCTTTTAAATTTAGAAACCTGTTTTTTATATTTATAATATTTAAAGCCATTAAAAATTAAGATGTCATAATTAAAATAATCTTTTAACATTTTACATTAATTAGCATTTAGCAGATGACCATAACAAATTATTTTTAATTATGTTACATTAATTGCCAATACAAATTTCTTTCTGGTTTTTACAAATCTGTTTGCAAAATTTTATTTTGTCGTTTATTAAATTTTTGTATAATTAGCTGCTACATTGCAGGTATAGGAACTTCCAATATTAAGCATGATTACAAATACTTCAGTTTTCATGTCTTACTTTTTATTAATAGTCTAAAAGTTATAAAATGCTTTGTGCGTTAGTCTTGGTAACATTCTTTAGTATGAATTATCATTTGAAAAATGTTAGGAACGTAGCTTTCCCATCTTATTTATTATCTTGAGGTGGAGTCTCACTCTGTCGCCCAGGCTGGAGTGCAGTAGCGTGACCTTGGCTCACCGCAACCTCTGCCTCCTGGGTTCAAGCGATTTCTCCTGCCTCAGCCTCCTGAGTAGCTGGGATTACAGGCACGGGCCACCACGACCGGCTAATTTTTGTGTTTTTAGTAGAGATGAGGTTTCACCATATTGATCATGCCGGTCTCGAACTCCTCACCTCAGGTGATCCACCTGCCTCGGCCTCCCAAAGTGCTGGGATTACAGGTGTGAGCCACCATGCCAAGCCTATTTATTTTAGATACAGTGTCTTCCTCTGTTGACCAGGTTGAAGTGCAGGGGTGTAGTCATAGCTCACTGCAGGCTCAGACAGTCCTTCTGCCATGGCCTCCCAAAGTGCTGGGATTACAGGCATGGGCCACTGCGCCTGGCCTAAATTGTAATAATTTTACAGTTTGCCTCAAATGAGGGCTGGCATCTGGGCAAGGTCTGCTGGGGGCCTCCCACATACAGGCAGTCTCTCTGCTGTGCCCTCCACCAGCACTGAGGGTCACCTGCCCACAGGCACCCCTCTCCTTTCCCCTCTGGGGAAGGCCAGAAGTGACTTTTGAGGTTACCCGAGGGACTTTTTCTGGAAAAGGGTGTGAAGCTGAAGCTGATGGCCTCAGTGTCCAAAGGGGAACACTTCCCACAGGCGTTTGGAAGCCACAGACCTGACAGCGGGGTCCTGGTCTTGGGGGTCTCAGTCACCTGGCCACCCATTCCTTCCTCACTTAGGCATCCACCTAGCGGGCTGCCCACACCCTCTTCTATCTGTCTGTGCTCAGCCAATCAGGCAAGCCAGGGTTACACCCTCCCTGTCCTGGGCCATGGCTCCATGAAGCACCATGTGCCTCGGAAGACCTCCCCGATTGATCCCGTCTCCCCAGTATCTTCTGCTAAGGCAGAGGTTTCCCTGGGCCCCTGCTCTGGTCCACTTCCTTGGCACAGTTTGTAGCTGTGCCTGACACAGCCCACCCGCCTGGCTTCTGTCCCAAACCTGCAGCCAGGCCATGTGACAGCCGCTGCCTGTGCCCAAACATTCATCCAGCCCCACCCAGGAGAGCCAGACAGGCACTCACACCCTAACCCACACACCCTCACCCCCACACCCTCACCCGCCCACCCCCACCCACACACCCTCACCCACACCCACACACCCCCACCCACACCCACACACCCTCACCCACACACCCCCACCCACACCTGCACACCCTCACCTGCACACCCCCACACCCTTACCCGCACACCCTCACCCACCTGGCCCTTCTGCACCCCCTCCCCACCCTCCCTCTAAACCTACTGGGGGAGCAGCTTCCCCTACATTCGCTTGCTCCACCTCCTCCTAGAGCTGGGTCACATACCAATTCCCACGCTCTTGGCAGGTTGGTCATGGCCCTGGCAGATCTGAGGACAGGATGGGCACAGGACTGTGTGCAGCATAGAAAGGTCAAGGAGTGCAGCCTCGTACTCTGTGCCAGCTGCCAGCCCCCGGAGCTTACTAGGCTGATGGGGACAAATAATGCACCAGAGGGGACAGTGACCATTGTCCCTGGGTTAGTCCACCACAGGACTGTTGGGAAGTTCACAGATGTACTGATTGCCCTGTTGCATTGGTCCTCGGGGGCAGATGCTGAGATGGGGTTAGGAGAACAAAGGGGAGGAAGGGAGCTGGGCATGGTGGCTATGCCTGTAAATCCTAGCAGTTGGGGAGGTCCAGGTGGGAGGATTTCTTGAGGCCAGGAGTTTGAGACCAGCCTGGGCAACATAGCAAGACCCTGTCTCTACAAAAAAAAAAAATTAAAAATTAGCCATCCATGGTGGCTGTATTCCCAGCTACTCGGGAGGCTGAGGTGGGAGGAACAGTTGAGCCTAGGAGTTGTCAATAGAAATCAAGTGTTGGGATATTGAGAATAGCATTATAATGAGGGTCCAGAGTATGTTATTAATACTAATGGTAGAATTTTGAGCTTCTGATATATACACAAACATGTATAGCTACACCAGGGATTGTGCTCAAGATTTGACTTACATTAGCTTGTTTAAGCCTCTTCCACACACTATTTGAGGCAGGTACTGTTGTTATCATTTTATGGATGACAAAACTGAGAAGCAGAAAATGTAGGAAACTTGCCCAAGATCACACAGCCATGAAGCAGACACCAGAAGCAGAGCCCTAGGCTCACAAACTTGACTGCCTTCACTCTAGGCTCTATGTTATTCTGACCATCTCTCAGCCAGGAAGTCACTCCCTTATGCAAATGACATTGTTGGTGCTGATGGTTAAATATTTCTTTTCTCACAACATGTGAAAGAGAGAGCCTGATTTGCTACCTAAGCCCCAAGGGTTTCTCCTACCATTTCAGAGAGGTAGAAACTTTTCTTTGCCCCTAAACTGTGGCAAAGAAAACAGAGAGGAGGAAACAGCCATCAGAAGACTAAAAATCTCTCATCTTTGCAAATAAGAATTCACTCTGAGCTTTTTTGCATGCAGCAGTGGGAAGAGACCTTGTTTTTTATTCTATCAACTTATCCATTTAACAATTTATTGAGAACCTGTTGTGTACCCGATGCACTGCTGGCATTGGTTATGTAAAAATCAATGCAGCATGGTCCTTTCCCCAAGCAACTCAGTCTCCTGCTTGGTTCTCTTTTCTGGATCATTTTAATTATGGTTCTCCTTTTAAGTAAAGGACAAACAGAGAAGTAGCACCGAGTCAGATTTTTGCCACTAGTCTTATACAGGTGGCCTATTTTTCTTAATGCTCCCCACACATGGGATCTGAGCCAGCTGAGCCCTGAAACCTTCCAGGTTGAGAACGTAGTGTGGCACTTCACATGAGACTGTGCGGGAGTTGATACAACTGGCATGTTAGCCACAGAAACCCTGCCAAGCGTTCTGGAATAGAGGGGGTGGACAGGACCCCACCTGCTTTCCCTAATCTCATGGATATCAGGCACCAGGCAGCCTTCCCCCGGAATGGAGACATCTCAGGTAGGGGTTGTCACTGTTCCAAGCTTCCTTTGATGCCGTTTTGATCCTGGATGTAGAGTTGCCGCATGGAGAGTGAAACCACGAGAATATATAATTGAGAAAAGAATGGAAAGATGGACAGATACCTAAACAGATACATAAATACTTTGCAGAAGTCTGGGACAGTGGAACGTAGGAAGAGAGCCTCAGATAGAGAGAGAACAGTAGGCTGATTGTGGTAAAGGGAAGGCTTCACTTTGTTATTCAGTATACATATTTATTGAATTGTTTAAACAATATGTATATCTTTATAATTAAAAGATAATTTGGGGCCGGGCATGGTGGCTCACACCTGTAATCCCAGCACTTGGGGAGGCCGAGGTGGGCGGATCACGAGGTCAGAATTTTGAGACCAGCCTGGCCAACATGGTGAAACCCCATCTCTACTAAAAATACAAAAAATTAGCTGGGCCTGGTGGCAGGTGCCTGTAATCCCAGCTACTCAGGAGGCTGAGGCAGGAGAATCACTTGAACCTGGGAGGCAGAGGTTGCAGTGAGCCGAGATGGCGCCATTGCACTCCAGCCTGGGAGACAGAGCAAGACTCCGTCTCAAAAAAAAAAAAGAGAGAATTTGGGCTTTAGAATAAGATTGGAGTGTGAATCCTGGCTTCTACTATTTCTGAGAGCTATGTGACTGTGGACAAATTGTTTCAGTTCTCTAAACCCCCAATTCCCTTGTTTATGAAATGGAGGTCATGGGGATTGAATGAGATTAAGTCCTATATAAAATGCTGATAGAGCTCTCAATAACATCACCTCTTTATTATTAATAGCATTAGGCAAGGCTGAGAGTCAGCTACAGAGGAGACCTCTGTGGGCAGAAGAGAACCACGGAGGAGTTAGCAAGTAGCAGTAGAGCCGAGAGAGGAATGGGTTCCATTTAACGCAGTGTCAAGTGCACTCCTCATTAGGGAGATGCACCTCCCTCCCTTCTCAACCTGCCAGCACTTGTTTTCTCCTGGGGAAACACCCGGCATGGCAAGCTTTGTATGTGGTAAGGTGGCTGAGAACATGAGCCCTGGCACCATTGATTTCCATTCTAGCTGTGCCACTTACTTGCTTAGCCAGTTTCCTCACCTGTAGAATGGGAATGGTAATTGTGTCTACCTCAAGAACTGTCTCACCAATTAAGTGAGTTAATGCATGGGAAGGGCTTCAGAAGAGCCTGGCACAGAGTAAGTGATTTATAAATATGAGTGCATGTTCTATACTCTGGTTCTAGAGTAATCCTAAGACTTTTGAAGACCCTGAACGCTCTTCCTTTTGGAGATTTCACCCCACATTTTATCAAACATACTGAAAGTCACCCACATTTCACGTTAATTATTATTATTATTTGCTGTAGTATGTTTAAAAGAGGTTTTAATGATTTTGCTTGTGGTTGGCTGTGACTAACTCATGGCTATGAGGCCTTAGCAATCGCTGGACGTATTTGGAAACCCTTTCAAGGTGAGTAATTCTAAGGAACGAATTGTTTTTAAGTGTAATACAATTTGTATGAACATCAACCTTAACAATGATGTTTACATAACATTCCATTATGTAGACATTTAATTAAACTTTTATCTATTTCAATTTTTCAGTTTTCTCTTTTTGTATTTTGAAGCCAAAAAAAAAAAATGTGTTTTCAGACCTCAGGTTAAGGGAATAGATGAAAGCGGTCAGCCAGGGACCAGAAAGACCTCTTGGCCACCCTCCCGAAGTTGTGGTTCAGCAGAATCAGGCAGAGCCTGGGTGCAGAAGGGACCTATAAGCTTATCTATCCCTGTTCTTCCCTTTTATGAATGGAATAACTCATGTCCAAGGAGGGGAGTGACTTGCCCAGAAGATAGTATAGTTTGATTCTTCAAATGCAGAGTCCTGAGCCCTTTCAAACTTCTTGTTGTTTGTTTTACACGTTCCAAGATGATATTCAAGGAGTGGTTCTCAAAGCCTAGGGGAGTGACCTCATGAGAGGTCAAGGCTGCTGATGCTGGGAAGACTCATACAGGTCCACCCAGGCTGCACGTGTGTGTAACCCAATGACCAAATCAACAGTGACTTGAACCCGCAGCCAGGGGAGTGTGAGTGAAATATAAGCAGACGTTTTCACCAGTTGTTAAAACCTAGCAGGGGCATGAGGAATCAATCACAGACTGTGCCTCAGCAAACCTCCATGAGGAAGGCTCAAGGGAGCGGAAGAGCAATCACAGGTCTCCACCATCCAAGAGCAAATCCAAGCAGAGCTAAGCACTTTTGTGTCCTCTGGAGCAAGGCAACCCCATAACCTTGCAGAGATTCAGGAATGATGGAAGCTGAGGAGCTACATGGCCATGTCAGGAGGATGATGAGATCACCAGGCAGCTGCCATCAAGTTAGGGTTCAGAGTGGTCCTGGAAGAGAAGGAGATGCCCCTGCCTGGGACCACACAGGACAGAAGGGCATCTGGACAGTACCAGGCCATGTTCAGAAAGTGAAGGGGCTTTCCCATAGGAAGGTTATGGGCCCAAACACTTATTGAGCGCTTACTGTGTGGCTGGCGTAGTCAATAAGTGTTAAAGGAAGGGAGAGAGAAACTGCGAGGGAAGAGAGGAGGAGGAGACCCTGGACAGCAGGTGCTGTCGCTCTGAGGCTCCTCCATGTCCACAGTTGGTGGCTTCTACCTTACATCTTTATACCTTTGAATTGGATGAAATGTATTTTCTCTTGGTCGTTAGGGCACTGGTGCACAATTTCAGTATGACCTTGTTGGTTCGTTCCACCTGGTCGTTAAGGTTCTGGGGACTGTGTATGAAGCAGTATCATACAGGAGAAGGAGGCAGGCAAACCTGGTTTTGAATTCCAGCCTAGCCACTATATAGCTGTGGTACCACAGAGACATTCTTTACCCTCTCTGAAAGTGAGTTTCTTCATCTGGGCAATGGGTGCTAAGAATTCTTGCTTCCCAGGGCTATAGCAATGTGCTAACACAGTCCCTGCTACATCATAGTAGAGGCCCCATAGAGTGCCTTTTCATGTCCCATGGTCAAGGTGGTCTTGCCTGAAACTAAGACATAGCTCATTGTACTGCTCAAGTCAGAGCAAGCCAAGTGTGCTTTGGACAACTAATGTGCCTAAACCTGGGTCGTGAGAATCCTAAAAAGGAACAGGGCATGGCTCTGGACCTCAGGGAAACAGAGTCAGATGTGGGGGAGACATAGATCTGGAAAAAAAAAAAAGCACCGGGCTTGGGGTCTGGAGTTTGGGTCACCTTCCCAGGTTTGCCACAGATTTGCTATGGGTCCTTGATTAAGTCACAGTTCTCTGAATCTCAGTTTCCTCTTCTCTCCTGCTTGGGCAAAACTTGATGGTCTCTAAGATTCATCCTTGTTGAGTAAGTGCTAAGCTACATGGCACAAATTTCAGATGCTTCTTTAAGTGTGTCCAAGAAGAAAATTCTCAGAGACAGTTGGAGTGCCTGGGAGTGGCTAGAAAAAATTAGGGAAATGATTCAACATTTAGCCACAAGTGATACAACTAACTTAGGAGTCTGCTCCTCATCTCATGGGGGTCTTAAATTCTTCCCTCCAGTCCTTCTCTCTTGGGTTGTATTAGAAAGATTACTGAGGTAACCTTAAGCACAGCAGGTTGGATTCAGGTTAGATTTAAGGAAGGACTTCCAAACAAATGATTTTAAAGGCGTGAGCTTGTAAGTGAACAGAGAAAAAGGCATCATCTACTTTTTAAAAGCCTTAAGATGCTGGGCACAGGTATATTTTGCATTCCTGAAAACTGTGCTAAGAGAATACACTGAATCAGTCCTGCTTAAAATGCACCAGAGTGTTCACTATTTAAAGGCATGGGGATGCCCTTAAGTTCACTGTTTATGAATACGAGCTTTGTTTAGCCAGGTTTTTAAGGTGAAGATTCCCTAGCTGGATCTCTGTCACGCAGAGTTCAAATGTAATCTTCCTCAGAGGCAGAGAAATAAATTCAGTTCATTCTCAAGGTTGCTTTCAGATCTATGGGTCCAGGAATGCATGAAATACAAGGAAAATGTTTATGATGTTTCTGTATTGGCCAGCATTCCTGGTTTCTGTCCCTGGAGGACCTGCAGAGCCAGCAGTCTCTTCTTTGAGTATGTCTCAATCGTGAGCACCAGGCAAAACCACAGGAGCAGTACCATTGTTCTGGAGAGTTTAGTCTGGGGCCTACTGGGAGTTGAGTAGAAGTTGGAATCTGATTTGACTTCCATTTACTCTGCACCTTGTACTTTGCAGTAACAAGAGTGTCAGTGCCATGAGGGCAGGGACTATTTGTGATTTGCTTCTCATTGCCTGGCATGGAACGGGTACTCAATCAATGATGAATGAATGAAAATGGACACATCAATTCTAGTTGACTTTCTGGCCTTTGGCCAGGTACTTAACTGCTCTGAGCCCCAGCTTCTACATCCATAGCATGGGGGATAGTAAGAGTTCCTACTTCACAGGGTTGTCATCAGGATTCAATGAGACAAAATATGCAAAGTACTTAGCGCGTTGTGTAGAATGTAATAGGCACTCAACCAATGTTAGCTTAGTACTACTTTTTCTGTGTAAGATTATGTTGTCCTTTCCACAGCCCTGTAAGGAGAATATACCATCCCCACTGAACAGATGAGAAAACTGAGGCTCAGGGGTGTCAGGTGACTGCCTGAGGTCACAGGTGGGACTGGGGCTCCTTGGTCTGTCCTCTTTCTACTGCGAAACAGTCTGGTGAAACTACAGAAGGACCCATTCCTGCTAATGAGGCACTAAAGGTAATGCACGAGGAACTCTCAGGAATATGTGGAAATTCTCCTGGGTTTTCCAGCTCCTGAGAGTGCCCTGGCTTTGTGGGGTGAAGTCCTTTGATTGTCTCAGGTTCCTGATCTGTTCATGACCCTGTTAGCCCAAAAGCTGGCAGAGCTCCATGTAAGTGCTACTGTTCTTTTTGTCTCCCTGACTCTCCCCTGCTACCCACCTGCATCGCCTTAGGCATTTATTCTTTGCTTAAACATGCCTATTTGCAGAGACACACTGAGCTAAGCAGCAAAGTGGAGGTTTCCAGTGAGAAGTCCACCGTGAGGGAATAGGGTGTCAGGAGAAGTCCTACCAGCTCATCTTGACCGAGATGCTCGTGTGCTGTGCTTTTGAAAATGCAAGCAGTCAAAGAACATTTAAAATGCGGTCAGTGGTTACTGTCCCTTTGTGGAACCGAGCAGACAGGAGTGCAGGTGTGAAACATGACGTCCATATGGAAATAGAAGGACAAAACAGTCTTTGTTAACTTGATTATCTACCCTGTGGTTAGAAATGAGGGCCTGGCTAAATGCAACACAGAGAATCTAGAAACTTTGTTTTGCAAAAAAAGGCACCTACCCCATTTACACTTTACTGAACTATTATTAATAAGGAGCTTATGAGTCTATTAGATATGGTCTTTGCCTTCTTTCTCGATTCTAAGGTTGGGTTTCTGGGGACAGTGAAAAGCCCCAAAGGTGGGAAAAGCAAGAGGAGGGCAAACAGAAAGTCTGCAAACTCCATCATCTGAATAACAGGGCTGATGCTTTAGAGTGTGCTGCTTGAAAATCTGGTGTGCATATTTAAATTATAGCTTTCCACACACAGAAAGGGCAGCCGTTCCCTTTAGCCCAGCCCCCTTTCCCTCTTATTATTAAAATAGAGGACAAAAGGGGTGCTTTTTTTCCTGGGTTTCTATTTTGGTATGAATTTACAAAATGTGGTTTAAGTATTGATTTTATAGGAAGAATGTCACATTTTAAGATTCAGTGTTAGGCATGGAGCTCTCTAAAAGATTGTTAAGTATTAAGGCCAGGAAAAAGGTGCTGTGCAGCAGTGCCCAGCAATAGAGGGCATTCAGGCAGGAGGGGCTGCCATTCATCAGCTACCCAGTCACCCTCTTGCGAGGGTGGAGCTGAGTTCTCCTCTGCACAGACTTCAGAGATACAGCAAAGGCAGAGCAGTGTTCTCCTCAGCACAGAGCCGGGCGGGCGGGCCGGGGGCACTGCAAGGGCGCAGCTGCGTTCTGCTCAGCACAGACCCGGGGGACACCACGAAGGCAGAGCAGCGTTCTCAGCACAGACCTTGGGGGCACTGCCTCGCTTTGGGACAACTCCGGGCCGCATCCCCGGTGAATAAAATCCTTCCTGTTTGCAGCCCTGAATAATCAGGGTCAGAGACCAGTTAGAAGGGTTCAGTGTGGAAAACGGGAAACCAAAAGCCCCTCTGAATCCTGCCCACCGAGGTTCTCCCCAGCCAAGGCGAGGCGGCCGCAGTGCGAGATCCACACCACAGCCTCAGAAGACAAATGCAGCATTCCTAATGCAGACATGACACCCAAAATATGACACCCCCATTGCTCATGTAACAAGCACCTGTAATGCTAATGCACTGCCTCAATACAAAAATATTAATATAAGATCCGCAATCCCCTCGCTGCCATGCAGTCCTAAGACAGCAATCATAATAATCAACATTGACATAGTCAATACAAACGTAGTAACGAACCCAGGGTTAAGGTTGGTGTTAGGGTTAGGGATTAGGGGTTAAGTTTAGGGTTAGGGGTTGGAGATAGGGGTTGGGGTCAGAGTTAGGGGTTAGGAGTCAACGTTTAGAGTTAGGGGTTAAGAGAGGTTAGTGGTTTGGGATTAGGGGTTAGGGTGAGGGTGAGGGTTGGGGTAAGGGGTTAGGGTTAAGGGTCAGGGGTTAGGGGTTAGGAGTTAGGGTCAGAGGATAGGGGTCAGGGGTCAGGGTCAGGGGTCCCACTCTGTGGGTTGTCCACTCTGCTGACTGTTCCCTTTGCCATGCAAAAGCTCTTTAGTTTAATTAAGTCCCAGCTATTTATCTTTGTTTTTATTGCATTTGCATTTGGCTTCTTGGTCATGAAATCCTTGCCCATGCCAATGTCTAGAAGGGTTTATCCAGTGTTATCTTCTAGAATTTTTATAGTTCAGGAATTAGGTTTAAGTTCTTAATCCATCTTGAGTAGATTTTTGTATAAGGTGAGAGATGAGAATCCAGTTTTATTCCCCTACATGTGGCTCGCCAATTATCCCAACATCATCATGTGTTGAAAAGGTGTCCTTTCCCCACTTTATGTTTTTGTGTACTTTGTCGAAGATCAGTTGGCTGTAAGTATTTGGGTTAATTTCTGGGTTCTCTCGTCTGTTCCATTGGTCTATGTTCCTATTTTTAAACCAGTACCATGCTGTTTTGGTAACTATGGCCTTATTGTACAGTTTGAAATCAAGTAGTGTGATGCCTCCAGGTTTGTTCTTTTTGCTTAGCCTTGGTTTGGCTACATGGCTCTCTTTTGGTTCCATATTAATTTTAGAATTGTTTTTGTAATTCTGTGAAGAATGACGGTGGTATTCAGATGGGGATTGCATTGAATTTGTAGATTGCCTTTAACAGAATGGTAAATTTCACAATATTGGTTCTACCCATCCATGAGCATGGGGATGCGTTTCCATTTGTCTGTGTCATCTATGATTTCTTTTCTTTCTTGTTTTTTTTGTTTTTTTTTTTCAGAGGGAGTTTCGGTCTTGTCGCCGAGGTGGGAGTGCAATGGTGTGATCTCGGCTCACTACAACTTCTGCCTCCTGGGTTCAAGCGATTCTCCTGCCTCAGCTTCCCGAGTAGCTGGGATTATAGGCATGCGCCACCGTGCTTGGCTCCATCCATGATTTCTTTCAGCAGTGTTTTGTAATTTTCAATGTAGAGGTCTTTTGATTCCTTTGCTAGGTATATTCCTAAGTTTTGTTTTTTGTTTGTTTGTTTGTTTGTTTGTTGCAGCTATTGTAAAAGGGGTTGAGTTCTTGATGTGATTCTCTGCTTGGTAGCTGTTGATTTATAGAAGAGCTACTGATTTGTGTCCATTAATCTTGTATCTGGAAACTTTGCTGAATTCTTTTATCAGTTCTAGGAGCTTTCTAGAGGAGTCCGTAGGGTTTTCAAGGCAAAAGGTCATATCGTCAGCAACCAGTGACAGTCTGACTTCCTCTTTACTGATTTCGATTTCCTCTATTTCCTTCTTTTGTCTGATTGCCCTGGCTAGGACTTCCAGTACTTTGTTGAAGAGGAGTGGTGAGAGCATGCTCCTCGTCTTGCTCCAGTTCTCAAAGGGAATGCTTTCACCTTTCCCCCATTCAGTATTATGGTGGCTGTGGGTTTGTCCTAGATAGCTTTTATTACATTAAGGTATGTCCCTTGTATGCCTATTTTGCTGAGAGCTTTAATCATAAAGCAATGCTAGATTTTGTCAAATGCTTTTTCTGCATCTGTTGATATAATCGTGTGAGTTTTTCTTAATTCTGTTCATTTGGTGTATCACATTTATTGACTTGCATATGTTAAACCATTCCTGTATCATTGGTATGAAACCCACTTGATCATGGTGGATTATCTTTTTGATATGTTGTCAGATTCAGTTAGATAGTATTTTATTAAGGATTTTGGCATCTGTATTCATCAAGGATATTTGTCTGTAGTTTTCTTTTTTGGTTACGTCCTTTCATGGTTTTGGTATTAGGGTGACGCTGGCTTCATAGAATGAATCAGGGAGGGTTTCTTCTTTCTCTGTCTTGTGGAATAGTGTGAAAGGATTGGTATCATTTCTTCTTTGAATGAAGGAAGACATTCTTTGAATGTCTGGTAGAATTCTGCTGTGATTCTGTCTGGTCGTCAGCTTTTTTTGTTGGTAATTTTAAAATTACCATTTCAATCTCACTGCTTGATTTATTGGTCTGCTTGGGGTATCTAATTCTTCCTGATTTAAGCTAGGAGGGTTGTATTTTTCCAGGAATTTATCCAACTCTTCTAGGTTTTCTAGTTTATGTGCCAAAAGGTGTTCATAGTACCCTTGAATAACCTTTAATATTTCAGTGGTGTCAGTTGTAATATCCCCTGTTTCATTTCTTAGTGAGGTTATTTGGATTTTCTCTCTTCTTTTCTTGGTTAATCTTGCTAATGGTCTATCAATTTTATTTATCTTTTCAAATAACCAACTTTTTGTTTTATTTATGTTTTGTATTTGTTATTGTTGTTGTATCAATTTCATTTAGTTCTGCTCTGATCTTGGTTATTTCCTTTGTTTGCTGGGATTGGGTTTGGCTTGTTCCTGTTTCTCTAGTTCCCTGAGATGTGAACTTAGATTGTCTGTTTGTGCTCTTTCAGGCTTTTTGACATTGGTGTTTAGCGCTACAAACTTTCCTCTTAGCACTGCCTTTGCTGTATCCCATAGGTGGTGATAGGTTGTGTCATCCAGTTTGAAGAAATTTTTTATATTTCCATCGTGATTTCGTTTTTCACCCAATGCTCATTCAGGAGCAGGTTATTTAAATTCCATGTATTTGCATGGTTTTGAAGATTCCTTTTGGAGTCGATTTTCAGTTTTATTCCACTGTGATCTGAGACAGTGCATGATAGAATTTCAGTTTTCTTCAATTTACTGAGACTCGTTTTATGGCCTATCATATGGTCTATCTTGGAGAAAATTCCATGTGCTGTGGAATAGAATGTGTATTCTGTGGTTGTTGGATGAAATGTTCTGTATGTATCTGTTAAGTCCATTTGTTCCAAAGTGTAGTTTAAATCCAGTGTTTCTTTGTTGACTTTCTCTCTTGATGACCTGTCTAGTGCTGTCAGTGGAGTATTGAAGTCCCCCACTATTATCGTGTTGCTGTCTATCTCATTTCTTATGTCTACTAGTAATTGTTTTATAAATTTGTGAGCTCCGGTGTTAGGTTCATGTATGTTTGGGATTGTCATATTTTTCTGTTGGATGAGACCTTTACCATTATATACTGTCTGTCCTTGTCTACTTTAGCTACTGTTGCTTTAAAGTTTGTTTTGTCTCATATGAGAATAGCTACCGCTGCTCGCTTTTGGTGTCCATTTGCATGAAATGCCTTTTTCTATTCCATAATCATTCTGATGCAAAAACAATTGTAACTCTCTTTCTAGTGCCTACATTTCCTATGAGCCCCAGTTGTGCATAGCAGAAAATACGGAAGCATCTAGGAAAACCTAGGGGCAGGAGGGGCTGGAAGGGAATAAGGCCTTTCAAGGTGTTTAAAGAAGAGACAAAGATGAAGAAGCAGGCATAGTTTCTGAAGAGGTTTTTTGGTGTTTGTTGTTGTTTGCATTTACCTAATTAGTTCTCAACTGCAGAGGCACATTAGAATATTCTGGGGAATTTTTAAAATACGACTGCATGGGCCACCTGTCATATACACTGATGTAATTGGCCTGAGTTGGGGCCTAGGTGTTTCTTTCTCTCTCTCTCTCTCTCTCTGTCTCTCTCTTTCTGTCTCTCTGTCTCTCTCTCTGTCTCTCTCTGTCTCTCTCTCTCTCTCTCTCTCTCTCTCTATATATATATATATATCCTGTTTTGTATATATCTAAGTATCTGTAGATATATACAGAACAGGGGATACCAGTGTGTACCTACCATTGAAATCAATTGTTTTCAAGTCTTTTTAGGTCTTATTCTCAGATGGTCTTGGGTAAATGGTGGCTGATTGCCTTCAGCATCTAGAATAAAACACTCTATGGCCCAGAGGAATTCCAGCTGGCATCTATGATCTTTTTCTCTTGAGGTAGAGCAGCTGAAGGGAGGATTATCTTCATGTTGAGTCTGATGGCAGGGTAATTTGCTTCATGTGGAGGCAAAGGGATATTGTTAGTTTTCCAGCTACATTGGGAGTTCTAAGTAGCCACATCTCAGGCTAATAGGAAGTCCAGATTGGTTCAAACCTTTTCTTAATTATCCTGTGTAGGAATGGACCACGCAGTATCCCTCAAGGAAGAATCAAGAGTGTTTCCACAGAGAATATACATATTTCATCTCTTTCTCTGCTGAATGGATCCCCACTGAAAGCCATGAATTAATTACTCTCATTAGACCCTGTAGAATCCCAGTTTATGGCAGTGACATTAAAAACATCTAGTTCATGACTTGGATTAGGCAGCCTGTAAAATGACTTCCAGTGATCCCTGCTTTCTGGTATGTATGCCCTTGTATAATACCCTCCTCATGAGTGTAGGCAGAGGTAACATCACTTTTGAAACTAGGTTATATATATTAAAACAAACAAACAAACCTGTGGCTTCCATTTTGGGTACTTTATCTCACACTCTCTGATTTCTTGCTCCGTGGGAAACAGACTGTAATGTTGTAAGCAATGCTATGGAGAGGTCCATGTGGTAAGGAAGTGATAGGTCCTGATAAGAGCCAGTGAGGATCTAAGGTGGATCCCTTTCTGAGTTGAATATTGAGATAGATGACTAACAGCCCTGGTCTACACCTTGATTGCAGCCTCATGAGGAATTCTGACCAAAAACACTGTGCTGAACCACGTCCAGGCTCCTGAGCCACATAAACTATGAGAAAACAAATATTTGTTTCAAGCCATTAAGTTTTAATTTGTTACACAGCAATAGATAACTAACACCTTTGTTACAGAGCAATAGATAACTAACACATGGAAGGATTCATCAAGAGAAGCGTTTTTCATAAGTGAAATGTTATTTTCATCTCACATTTCAATTATTAGAAAATAAAAGAAAATAAATTTGGATAGGCTCTCATAAATTCAATGATAAGAACTTGGAAAATGCAACCACATGATAACCAGGAAGTAAAAGGAAAACATAAGAGGCATCTTCCCAGACGAGAGTAAATATCTGGTTCCCTGAGAAGTGTAGTTTGAGAATGGAGAAATCAGATGTTACTGGAAAGAGGCTAGGACCGTATTATTTCTTGCTTCCTGTCAAGTCTTTTCAACTCAAGAGAAAGTAAATTTTCTTGACAAACCATTCAAAATTAAAGGATAGGTGGGAGTACATGTGTCCCTGAAGGAACAAGTGACCTTCATTGAAAGCAGCAGCTTGGTTGAATAAATACTGTACAGAAGTGGAATAAAGAGTAGCTGACAACAATGCTGAAATAGTTACACATGAAGTTTTAATGAGCTATTTCATATTAAGATACATATTGAGAATTCAAACCAGAGAGACCAGTTAATTGATATTTTCCCAACTCTGTTTTAGGGTGATCATAGAAATGATACCCACAAGTTAGTCACAGTGGCCTGCATCCATTTTGATATATCAGTGACGTATTCTGATTGGCCAGTAATCACCCATACTGACTGTTAAATATTTTTGTTATCACTCCTATGCATGGTGAATTTGAGTTCTGGTTTTCTTTAGCCTTGTGTTATTTATGTGTAAAGTTGGATCATGGAAGGCAAAGAATCTCCCGTGTGTCATTCACGCTCAAGTAAATGGCAGTGGGATAGGGATGTAAATGAAACTGCATGATAAGCCCTGCAAGTCATTCTGATGTATCGATTTTGCTTACTGGTGTTTAATTGCAGACATTGTCATATTAACGCAACCACTAATACATTATGGAGTAAGATGCAAAAATCACATGAGTCTTAACAGAAAAGAAATGTGATTTCTGTGGTGGGCCCCTTCTGCATTATTCTCTAACTTCTTGTTTTATACCTCTACTGTTAGAGAAATTTCAGTAGAAAATCGTGAGGGGCACTGTTTTAGAGTTTTTGTTGTTATAGCAATGCTTTTACTACAGCTAGGTCCCCTTGTACATCTTTATGTTCTTTGGCAGTCTAGAGAATCAGAAGAGCAAACTCTATGAGATAGAAACTCTAAGAATTTACCTCCAGCATCCCTTCTCTTCTGTCATTAAATTGAATTCATAGCCAACTCAAAGATTGACAATTTATACTATGGTTTTTATATTTTTATATTATAATTTATATTATGGCTTATGTCAAAATGTTTTGTTCACTGCTTTGAAAGTATCTTTTGTTTACTTTTGTTATCATTTCATATTTTAATTTTTTCCTTTCTAATTGTTAGAAACTCATGTATTTAATTTTATCTTTCAAAGAACATTTTTAAAAGGCTTACTCTGCTTATATGTATATTTTGCACAAAGCTTTCCATTCATAAACAAAAGGTGAATAGGAATCAGAATTGAAAACTACATAATTTCTTTTCTCCTTTTGAGTCAAATCATCACAGTATAGATTAGTCATTGTGTATGAAGTGCATTGCCAAGACATAGTCACATTTGTGTACAAATGTAAAGGCTATATCTCAATAGAAATAAAAAAACAAAAAAATGCAGAAGACCATTAGCTAATAATACTAATAATCTAGTATAGAAAGCATGTGCCAACTGATCTAGACTCTTGTGACAGTTGTATATCTACTCAGCTGCTTGACCTTAGGTGTATCAAAATCTCGATTTCCTAGACTACAAATGAGTAAGAGGGATGGAGGCCCCTTACAGTTTTAAGATTCTGGAATTCTAAGTGGGTGTAACTGGAGCAAATTTTATTTTCTAAAATTTGCATAATAAATTTTAAAATAGGAGAAAAACTAATAATTAAAGTACATATTTCTGGAAGTCTTTTTTAGGTGACTTATACTACCAGGAATGGATTTACCACTAAATATTGGTTTTGCCTAATTCAGCATTGCTATGTAATTTGATGGAAGTATAACTCCATAGACAAAGAGATTTGGTCCTAACATAGCTTGTATTTTATATGTATATACACTATTTCTATTTAAATTTCTGTGTAGTCATGTTTTACCCTTTTAAAATGAAGATTAGTTTTATTATGTATTTTCTTTTGTCTATAAACATTCAGTGAATTCACACTGAAAACTGATTATGAACAGATAGTCTGCTAGGCACTAAGGAAACACATATGAAAAACTAAGTCCTCCTCTGCCCTCAATATGCTCACAAGACTACAGTTACTGAAGCCTGACCTCAAAACCTAGCTAACAAAGTCCTTGAATCAGGTGATAGTTCAGAATACCATTCATGCTCTCTCCCAAGAGTATATCTGAGGAAGGGCAGTTCTTTCTAGTTTTCTACATCCTGGTCGTATAGGTCAACCACAGGAAAATTAAATGAATCTATTGGTTTGTTGACCTAGCCTTTTCATATAAGCCTCATCTATAAATGTATTACCAAATACTATTTATGTAAAGGGACTTGAATGACAAATATTTTGAAATTAAAACCACAATGGTTAGCATAGCTTTTAAATTAGATAAATGTTGACCTCCCATTGGTGAACATATAAAGTGCTACCAAGATCTGCCAATGAAAGACTTTGGAAGTGGAAATTCATCTTTTTAATAATCCTGTTATCTGTAAGCTGACCTCAAGCCTTCATGACATTCAAGGCCCCTTATTCCTAACTGTATCTTCTGTTTTGGGCATTGTGCTCTTGCCATCTAACAGGAAAACAACTTTCAGTGCTGCCACCTTTTGAACAGCAGAGATTTCTAGAGATTAGAAAATTACTAAATTTAAATATACATAGTTTTAAAATATGATACTTTTCTACCTATGCATTCAAATATATTCTAACTTTTAAATCCTGTAAATACTTATATTTGTAATGATTTTACTTATATGATCCAATTAATTGGCAAGAATATGTGGTGAAAGATTTTTTACATGTTTGTATTGTTCTGTGTGAGACATCTACTGTAAGCATTGCTTCAGGTTCTCATTTTTGTCTGCCTTCCAGGATTTGCTGGCCCAAGTGCTGTGTGCTAGACTTAGTCTCGGTCACAGAGGGGAGGGAAACTTGCAGTTGAGCCAGACAGTTTTGTTATTCCTTTAAAATTAAAAGCATATGAAACAGATACAGCTTATTAAGGTTTTTTTAATAAATAAAATAAACTTAAATAACAAAATAATAAAGTTCAAAAACAACTTAAAATATAGTTTAATGCTGTAACCATAGGAAAAAAGCATGATTATTTGTGGGAAGAACATTATTAAAAGCCATATTCCCAAATACGAATTATACAAAGATAGATTATGTTACTTGAAAAAAACTTAAAGATTTCTCAATTTTACTTTGAGAAATTATAAAATGTTATTTTGTGGCAAGTAAGATGAAGTACAGTATTATCATCAATCACTGTTGCTATCTTATATACAAGATTTTTGGAAACATCCTTTTAGCAATACCCTTTCCACTTGAGCAGCATTAGAAATTTTGTTCTTGTTAATAGGTATAAGCATGTTCTAATCCTGTACTTTTGTTAAATTATCTATTTTATTGACTTTCGTAATAGATTTTTTTGAGAATATTCTTTTTTTCTGATTAGAGTTTAAGTAGATTATAATTTTTCACTAGAAAGCATTTAAAATGCTGCTCATTTTCTATAGTTAGTGTGGCTTGATTATCTGACAAATCCTGCCAGCAGCCTGTAGGTCTGATACACCTTATATAACATCATCTGCATTATTATTATTATAGCAGCCATTTTATAAGCAGATAGGAATATTTAAATAATCATTATCAGATAATCAAATCTAACATACTCTTAAGGGTAAATTAATTTAAGAAAAAAATTACTATTACTAACATCATGATTGTACAACCAGTTTTACAATTTTGTACAACCTTTAGTTACTAAATCTGATTTTTGTGTATACTTTTCAAATCTTTCTTTAATGCAGTGTCTTAAAACAAACATAAATGCACAAGTCAAGCTTGATCAGTTTTTCAGTAGTTTTCCAGCCTTTCTTGATTACTAAAAAATAAAAGGAAAGAAAATTTTGAGAAGAAAGAAAACAGTCCACTTAAAGAAATCTCCCTACTGGAACTGGTTCTTTATATACCATATGCAATTAAGTTATTGCCATAGGAAGAAAGTGGGCTGTTTTTTGTTCTTTCTTCGTTTTTTTTCCTCTTACAGGAATCCCCTTTTGATTTAAGGCAACAAACATTTCCCCTCCATTGTGTGTCCATTTAGCTGCTGCATATGTGTTGTAATGGTTTTCCAGAATTAGTTCTTTGAAGTTACAATCTTCATTGCATTCTTTCTGTTCAAACAAACAAACAAACACACAAACATTATCCAAATGATTTTTAGAGAGGCTCAATTAAACGAAGAGTAAGCAGCAATATTTGGTAGAATTGAAACATACACAACTTTTTTTAACCCTCAGATTGAGCAGGCCTAATGTGGTTTATTAGCTAGACTTATGTAGTATATTTGCATAAAAAGGTATCTTAAATTTGAAATAAAGACACCACATAATGCACAGCTAGTGTGAAATATGTGTAGCTTTTTGGAAGTTCATGTCAACTATTCTTTAAAATTAGGACCTATTTCCCCCTAAGTAACAGGCCTCAAATTACTCTTCCCACATCACTCATTCTTTAACCACTGGAAATTTGGTAGAATTAGCAGAACCTCTGCCTCCCTCAGGTGAGAGACTTGTTTCACAACTTTTCTTTATTTACTTGTACACTGTCTTCAGTGGTAATGGAAGATAAAAGGTTAATTTGTTTGTTCATCCATGCAACCATTTGTTCATTCAATTAAACCTGTATCATTATATAATTAGCCTGTTCCAGGCATTATGCTGAGCTGTGGGAATACAAAGGAAAGCCAATTATATTTTATTACAGTGGGATGAACTGTTACATATTTTGCATTGTAGTGAAGTGGGAACAATGTGAATAATTACAGTTCAAAGCCCATGATTGTGAGATTGATGTTGATGAATGAACTAAACATTTCAAGATTTTTTCCCAAGAATTTTCATGTCAGCAATGTGCAAATTGGGTGAACTTTAGCAAAAAGAGCTTTAATACTGGCAAATGGAAATTTTGGATTTTAAATATCTAAAATGCACATGGAATGTTAGAGCTGGAAGGCTCCTTAGAGGTCAGCTAATTCAACTCATTTTACAGATGAAGAAACCAGAATCCAAAGAACAAGCCATTTGTCCAAAGTCACACAGAAAACATTTTTTCTTAACATTTGAGTATAAAGTGTTTTAATAAAATCATTAAATTATACAGTTGGAGATAGATTAAGTCCATGTTTACTTTTCAGAATGGTGAGATATTTCAACAAAAATGAGTTTTAAAAATTAAGCCTAAGCTATCAATTATCAATACCTTTGCATAGAGTTTTCCTTCCTCGTTCATTGCAAGATAGAATTCACTTTCCACCCCTTTGATTGCCACAATCCGAACTGCCACTGTCCTGATTTCCATGATATCTGCAAGGAATCACAGAAAGACATGTCAAGTATTCGTTCAGCTTTGCAAATGATCCACGAATGGCCATTTGTTCTTATTTCTGTTTTAATCGGAAGTCTTTAAAATTTTTAATGTGATTATTTACTCAGCCCAAGACCCCCGACCCACAAGAGATACACACAAACACCAGAATAGTCATTATATAAGGCAAGTGCAAACTGACGGTTTTTTATTTTGTGGAAAATGTGCCTGTATCGAATAAATAGTTACATATTTGAGTTCAGCTTTTTATTCTCTAGAATTAAATTTCTAATTTACTATAATAATAATAGCTAATGTTTATTGAACGCATACCACATGCCAAGGATTATTGCATTGCTCTTATGTATTAACTCATTTACTCATAACCGCAGATTGAGGCAGGTAGTCTTGTTATCCCAGTTTTACAGATCAGGAAACTGAAGCACAGAGAAACTAAGAAATTTGCCCAAATTCTTATACCTGATAAGTAGCAGAACTGGAATTTGAACCCACACATTCTGGCACTTAATCATTATATAATTACTTTTCTATTTGGATAAACTTTATCTTAAAAATTATGGCCAACAGAATAGCTCTTGAATATACTGAAAGTGAAGAAAATTCTAATTAAAGCAATTGTAAATGATGGTAAACAGAGCCTACTGCCTTAAAATAAAAGGTTGTTTTAAACTGATAGTATTTTGATACATGAAAAGACCATTTAAAACAAAATTATGAATCCTGTTTATATAATACTTCATAACTTTATACCTTTGTAATTAACTTTTAAATCTTTGTTGAAATAGTATTTACAAAACGTGTTTACACAAGAATGGTAACTTACCATTTTCCTTTATTATATATATCTTCCTTAAATCCTGTGTTTTAATGACACACTAAATAAAGTAAAATCTCAAGAAATTTATTAAAATGATGTAAGAATTAAAATTTTAGTGTACTTTTATGCAATTTGGTATTAATTACATTTTCTACATGAAGGTACAGTGCTGAGACATCCTTTTACCTATGTCTAACACAGTGCAAAGAAAAGTCAAAGTGTCAATTTTCTGTGTGATTGGGCCTTCAAAAGCTATTTTCTAAAATATTGACTTAAAGAAAAAGCTAATTGTTTTGCCCCATACCTTTACTTCATTCTCTTATTTATTTTTTTGACTTCATTTTTGCTACCTGGATAATAAAATTTCTATTCATGTCATTGGGATTTAATGTAGCCCAGCTAATATTTCTCATTTGCCTCACATATATGTTGCATATAGAAGCCCTTTTCCCAATATCCTATACTTAACACTAGTCAGAGCTCGTCCAGTTGAGAGTTTCACAGCTACTCCTCCAGAAATTGGGTTTGATTAAGAAAATGTAAATGAATGGATATTAATCTTTTTATATATTTATTAAGCATTATCACAATGCATACAACCCTACTGTAGTTTTAGGACACAAATTAAGAAAAACAGCCCTGGTTTCTGATACCAGAAGTTAAAACCTAATAGAAACAGCAAACACGTCCATATATTTTGAAGAATTTTGAAGAACACAGGCCTGAATAGGCCAGAGAAAATTTTACTAATTGCTTACAAGCACATGAAGGATTATGACGTTGATGCATTCATGTAACGTTCAGCAGATCTTCACTGAGAGCCAATTCTATGCTAGGCTCAATTCACAGACAAGCCTTGCCCTTTTAGGGCACTCTATTTGGTAACTACAACTTCATTGCATTAAAGGAAGCACAAAGGGAAATAACATGCAGAAGAATACTATTAGGTTAAATTTGTACTAATACAATGAAAAATACTGAAGAAATTCATTGATTCAGCATATTTGCAATACCTCCAAAATGGAATGAATGTATCAGTTAGGTTGGTGCAAAAGTAATTGTAGTTTTGCCATTACTTTTATGACAAAAACTGTAATTACCTTTGCACCAAACTAATATTTAAAGGACATATGGAATAGTTGGTTTCTAAAGATCTTAGCATTGTAAAATATCATTAAAAAGTCAATATTTTCTTTTCCTTCAAGTCTCTTTACTCCTGCCATTCCTCCCTGTATTTAATATATTTTCTTTTAGATAAAAAGAGAATGCTGATGCACAAGCTTAGAGTGTCTTTCTTGATCAGTTATTAGGGACTAGAATCTGTAATGTTTGCTGGCTTTTCTTTTACAGAACAATTGTAAAACATAAATGTTGACTGATAGAGTTAGTATTAATTATGATAGGCAGACGTCTTCCCTTTTTGGTCCTGTCATGACAATAAGTTCATATTGTCCCACTCCCAAAACATTTTCCTCTATCCCCTGCCTGTCTATTGCCCACTATTTCTTTACTGCACTTTACAAGAGGTGATGGCTGGATGTGGTAGCTCACATCTGTAATCCCAGCACTTTGGGAGGCCGAGTCAGGCAGATCACTTGAGGTCAGGAGTTCAATACTAACCTGGCCAACATGGCGAAAAATACAAAAAATTATCCGGGTGTGGTAGCGGGTGCCTGTAATCCCAGCTACTCAGGAGGCTGAGGCAGGAGAATTGCTTGAACCCAGAAGGCGGAGGCTGCAGTGAGCCAAAACGGTGCCACTGCCCTCTAGCCTAGGCAACAGAGTGAGACTCTGTCTCACCAAAAAAAAAAAAAAAAAGAAAAATTAGTTGGGCATGGCGGTGAATTCCTATAATTCTAGCTACTTGAGAGGCTGAGGCAGGAGAATCACTTGAACTTGGGAGGCAGAGGTTGCAATGAGCCGAGGTCACACCACAGCACTCCAGTCTGGGTGGAGTGAGGCTCTGTCTCAAAATAATAAATAAATAAATAAATAAATAAATAAATGAAAATAAGGTGGTGAACATTTTTAATCATATCTCTCCACATATTAGGGTTAAGGATACCACAAATTCTTTGTAAAGATTCTACGTTTAGCTGAGATGAGAATAGACTTATATTCTTAATTGCTTGACATATTTAAAAAATACCATTCACACTGGGAAATCAACATATCTAAAAGACAATTGCTTGGGGAGAGCATTAAGCAGTGTTGGCAGAATCAGTACCTTATCAACCCTATTTTCTAGTCTATTTTGTTCCATGTCCTACGACCCTCTTTTATTCAAGAAAAGCTCAAGAATAAGGAAATTAACATTATCACTCATTTGTTCAGTTGCAGTGTGGGGAGTAATGTTCCTTTCAATATGCACAAATATTTATAGAAGTGTTAAATATGGGCCGGGCGCAGTGGCTCACGCCTGTAATCCCAGCACTTTGGGAGGCCAACGCGGGCGGATCACCTGAGGTCAGGAGTTCAAGACCAGCCTGGCAAATATGGTGAAACCCCATCTCTACTAAAAATACAAAAATTAGCCAGGCATGATGCTGGGTGTCTGTAATCCCAGTTACTCGGGAGGCTGAGTCAGGAGAATCATCTGAACCTGGGAGGCGGAAGTTGCAGTGAGCTGAGATTTCACCATTGCACTCCAGCCTGGACAACAAGAGCTAGACTCTATCTCACCAAAAAAAAAAAAAAAAGTATTAACTATGAAATCCTACCCCTCCAAATCAGAAGCCACGAAGTTGCTCAGAAAACATAATAGAAAAATATGTAATATGCAGATATTGTTAGTTACCAATATGAGTTAATTATACTTGGTCTTTTTGTCTACAGTGTATCTGTTGCCTCACATAAAACAAATAGAAGAGGCTGTCTTTCTTTGTGGATTTCCATTTGTGCTTAAGAGAAGTTTGTTCACATAAGTAGCACTCAGTAAATTTATTCCCAGAGATTTAAAGCATATACATAGATGCATCAAATTGTTGGCATAATGTCCATGATAACATAATGGCAGAGTTCAAAAATATAAATAAAAGAGAGAGAGAGAATCAGCTCATGCAATAGAACATGAAAAACCAGGCAATATGTCAAGCACATTGACCATTTAGCCTTGTCAACAATATTGTCAACAATAGCATAAATTTATTATTTAGGATGTCACCCTTACACACTAGAGACTATGCCCTAAATAGCTTCCCTATTTTTTATCATCTGGTTCAATAATTCATGAATTTATCTAAACTTTTTGTCTGTTTATTATTTAAACCTGTGTCACACTTGGAATGAAAAGTGGGGAACTTTGATCTAAATTGCAATTACTTTTTTAAAAAATTCTGTAAGACCTTTCAGAATTTTAGGTGTCCCTCTAATCTTGTATTTCAGAAATTGATACTAATTCTTTTTTTAATTACCAATAGCTTTGTGATTTTAAAGTGCTTTAACTTTCCTGTTTGAAAAATTACTTTTTAGTGTCTCACTACACAGAATCCGTGTCCACCAATCTCAGCATCATTAATATTTCTTTTTCCTGAAACCGTTAAAGCTTTATGTTTAAAGTTTTGAAGGGGTATATATTAATATGGCTGTGCTAGCATGATAACTAAATATTATTTTCAAGTTGCAAAAAAAAGTGGAGGCAGCGGTTTGATAGTTAGCCAATCAGAACATTTAATCTTGTCCTTGATCAAATATACCCTCTTCGGCATGTTAAAACTAAGAACTAGTATCAACAAAGAAAAAAACATTTACATTTAAATACATTTTATGATTTTCTGTCAAGCCTGGATTGTTGAGTGGGAAATCTTAACCATTATATATTTATATTATGTTTAAGGCTATAGATTCCATTCATTTTACATCACTAAAATACACCGACATATACATATATGCAAAAAATATATCAATATATCCAACATATACAAAAAAAACACTGAAAACACAACAATAAGGAAAAAAACCTAGTTAAAAAGTGGGCAAAATCTGGACACCTCACTACAGATACACAAAGGGCAAATAAGCAGATGAAAATATGCTCAATAACATAGATCATCAAGGAATTGCAACATGGATGCAGCCGGAGGCCATTATCCTAAGCAAATTAACACAGGAACAGAAAACTAAATACTGCATGTTTTCACTTATAACTGGGAGCTAAACACTGGGTACTTAGGGACATAAAGATGGCAACAACTGACACTGGGGACTACTGGCGGGGAGTAGATGAGGGAAGGGTTGAAAAACCATTAGGTACTATGCGCAGTACCTGAGTGATGGGAGCAATCATACCTCAAACCTCAGTATCACACAATATACCCAGGTAACAGACCTGCACATGAACCCCCTGAATCTAAAATAAAAGTTGAAATTATTTAAAAAGGAATTGCAAATTAAAACAACAATGAGATACCTCTATACAACTATTAGCATGACTAAACTCCAAAAAACTGACAGTGCTGTATGCTGGCAAGGATGCGAAGCAACCAAAACTCTTTCATTACTAGTGGGAATGCAAAATGGTGCAGTCACATGGGAAGACAGTTTGGCAGTTTCTTAAAAACTAAACATGCTATATAATCCAGCAGTCATGCCCCCAGGTATTTGCCCAATTGAATTGAAAACTTATGTCCATACAAAATCCTGAACGTGACTATTTATAGAAGCTTTATTCGTATCATCTAAAACCAGATGCAACCAACATATCCAATAGGTAAATGGATGAACAAACTATGGTACACGTATACATTGGAATATTATTTAGCAATGAAAGGTATTGAGCTGTGAAGCCACAAAAAGACAAGGGGAACCTTAAGTACATATTGCTAAGTGAAAGAAACCAGTCTGAAAAAGCCACATACTGTATGATTCCAGCCATATGACATTCTGGCAAAGGCAAAACTTTAGAGGCAGTAAGATCAGTGGTTGCAAGGGCCTTGAGGAGAGCAGAAGAAGGATGAAAAGCTGAATCACAGGGGATTTTTAAATCAGTGAAACTATTCTGCGTAATACTGTAATAGTGGATACACGATATACATTTGTCAGAACTCATAGAACTATACAAAGCAAAGCGGGGACGTTAGTATAAATTGATGGTATAAATAAATATTGGCTCATCTATTGTAATAAATGTGCCACATTAATGCAAGATATTTATAATGGAGGAACTGTGGGGGGAAATGGAGATTGTTTATAGGAACTCTATTATCTGCTCAATTTTTTTTTTTTTTTTTTGATACAGAGTCTCGCTCTGTCGCCCAGACTGGAGTGCAGTGGCGCGATCTCGGCTCACTACAAGCTCCACCTCCTGGGTTCACGCCATTCTCCTGCCTCACCCTCCCCAGCAGCTGGGACTACAGGCGCCCGCCGCCACGCCCAGCTAATGTTTTTGTATTTTTAGTAGAGACAGGGTTTCACCGTGTTAGCCAGGATGGCCTCGATCTCCTGACCTTGTGATCCACCCGCCTCAGCCTCCCAAAGTGCTGGGATTACAGGCGTGAGCCACCGCGCCCGGCCCTATCTTTTTATTTTAATAAAATAACTACCTAATTTATGACAGGATAGTAGCATCTGGTGTTCTCTGAGGTTCTTTGATTTGTGGGCAGGTGTCTGTTGCTGAATTTTAAAAGTTCTCAGCCATCCCTTTTTTCTTTTCACATTCTGGGTGAATGCAGTTTTCATAGAAGGTGCTAGATTTGTGCAACCCTAAAGATAGGTGACTCCTCTGACTCACAGATCCCTGGGAGCCTCTCCCGAACAGAGTTTCTTTATCCACACACCCCACTTCCCATACCCACTCTCCCACATAGGTGTTCTGGCCACCAGTAATCTCTGAAGGATGGAAGATGAAGAGACATGACTTTTACCTGAGTCTCTACTCCTCCCAAGAGAATGAATGTTCCTGGAAACTTCACCAACAGAAAATCAGGGGATATCAATATATGTAAGCACTCATTACTCATGTAATGGAGGCCTTGGCAAAATGTGACACTTAAATTTCTGCTCAGGGAGAGTAGAAAATAGGCACAGAGAATAGAGAGACTGGTAAAGAATGAAGGCTCAAAGGTGATTGAGTTGTGTTAAAGGCACGTCTTGATCAGGCTTTGCTTTATTTTTCTCTTGTGGAATATGAAAGTGGGTGTTACAATTAAATATATTTCTTGATTTCCTAAAATGTTATAGGCTGTTTCCAATTTTTGTTATTTTTGGAGTTTCTTAAATCGAAATTTGATTCAGGATAATTAAAAAATATAATGTTAATGTTAAGATGGAAAGTAGGTCAAAAGGCAATCACGTTAAACAAGAGGATAATTGGAGATAGGACCTTGAACACGAAAGTAATCTTAAATTCTTGACTATTATGATACAGTTTGCATAAAGAACTGAGATTTCTTCAGAAAACTATAGTGAAATGGGACACTACAAATCAAATATAAATTTAAAAATGAACGCATTTATTCAATACATATCCATAGATTATTCTGGATTAAATGTACACATTTTAAGAATAAAGTTTTAAATTTGAAAATGAAAGACTGTTTCCCATCTAAACAGACCATTGGCTTCAAGATACTTACAACTGTGTTAAATCATCTTCCATTGGTTATAGTTGGTTATGGCATCGGCATCCCCAAATCTGGCTGACCCATACTACGTTTTTCCTAAATCTCTTTTTTCTTCTGTATCTTGCTAAGTCTGCTGGTTCATCCTCCCAATTTCCTGTATTTAAAACCCCAGTGCCACGTTTGACCTTGTCCTTTCTCTTCTGCTGTTCACGTCTTCTGTCTCTCACATTCATTCCAACCTACACATCCCAGTGGCCTATTCCTATTTAAGCACCCAACCCCCTCTCTCCTGAATGAATGCAGAAAGCTTTCTCATCTCTGGACTCATAACACAACAGTTATTATTACACACGACTGTCAGACGTGTGGAGTTCTTGAACCATAGTTCTCTGGTGTCATCATTCATTTTAAAAATTTTGGTTGGCTCCCTATTACCTAGAAAATAAACTTTAGTGTCCTTTGCTCAACATGTGAGGCCCTCCACAATCTAATTTCACACGCTCCAAAACCTTATTTCTACCTACTCTCTTCCAAGGACCCTGAACCCCACATTCCAGGCAAATCCAGTTATGGAACACTTGCAAAGGCCATCAGAAGTCACTGCAAAACCAATCCGGTCTGACTCCTATGTTGTTTAGTGCTCTATCCCCTTTGTCTGAAATGGCTTTCCCTCCACCTCTATTTTTGTTTACCGGCACCTTCCACAGCTTTCAGCATTCAGTTTGTCATGAAGGCAGCTGTTACAGACTGGACTAGAAAACTGTGAGCTGAATTGGTGGTTTCCAAATCAGTATCACACTTGATTCCCACCTCCAGAAATTTTGATAGAGGGGGCCTGGAGTAGAGCCAATGAGTCTTACACACACAGACACACACACACACACACACACACCCCAAAAGAAATCCACACCCCAAAACAAACACACACTTACCCTAATGACTATCTAGGTGCCAGCCCTAGCCTAGGCCAGGCTGGTGGAACATGCTGGATTAAAAACAACAGGACACTGAGAAAGTATTTGCTACACAGACATATGGGATTTGACCATGTGTTATTTACAGATAACCTAACTCATTGGAGTAAAACCTATCTTAAATTGGCATATGGTATAGGATATGTTGTAGCATTTTATTAGTGAACATTTGTAAGGTTTTATTTGTGAAAACTGATAAGACTGTATTTGTGACCATCACAAGGAAAACTGATAAAACTGTATTTGTGACCATCTCAAGGAAGGCCTGTCCTATGCCAGGCTCACCTGCCAAGCTGGCCGCAGTCCCTTCCTCTCTTGACCTCACGTTGCCCCTAAAGGCGTCTCTGTTATTATATTCATGACTTTCCATTTTCTAATACTGTGTACTGATCATTTCAACACATGCCTTATTCTCTGAATAGACTGAAGGATTCATTAAGTATCTGAAAAGCAAATGCTGATGAACTTGCCTAAAATAAAAGGCATGAAACATGCAAGTTTCTAACATAGATTGTAGCAGCCACCCCAGATGATTGCAATCGCCTCCCCATTGATCTCCCAGCTGACACATTCTATGTATTTGTAACTTAGCAACCAGAGTGAGCCTTTAAAAATTATCAGAGAGCGCCACTCCTCTTAGTAAAGCACTACCCCACCCCAGTCACGTAGCTTTCTGATTCACAGGAGTAAAAGCCAAAGTCCTTATAATGGCCTAAAAATCGTACATAATCTGTTCCTTTTCAGATTTCATTCACTACCATCTTCCCCCTTCTCTCTCTGTTCCAGTTACAACAGCTTGCTGCCCCCCTCAAACACAACTAGCACGTTCCTGCCCCAGGGCCTTTGCACCTGCTTTTTCCTGTTAGTGCAACAAGCTTGCTCCAGATATCTGAAAGGCTGACTATCTCGCCACCTTCAGATGTGTGTTCTAATGTCTCTTTATCAATGAGAGCTTCTTTGTCCACCCTGGGCATCTTCTTGCCCTTCCCTGCTTTATTCTTCCCCATGGCAGTTACTCACATTGGACACTAAACACTTGTTTCCTTAGCTAGGCATTCTTCTCCTACCCTCACAACAGTAGGAATGTCCTAAGGTTCTGAGAAGACTCCTGTGCTAGGTTTCCAGACTCCTGTCCTCTCACATTTGGTGCTCATGCACCTCTTGGTCATTAGTGCACTCCAGAGGTTAGGACCTAGAGTACGTGGCTGTCCTTCAGAGGAGGGAAAGGGATTGCTTAGGAGCAGAGAAGGGAGCTTTGGCCTCGCAGTGCAGGACCCCTGTGCCCACAGGCCTCTGTGTGTTGACAGCAATGCTCTTGGTGTCCACCTGCACTGCCCTCTGGTGTTCAGTCAAAATCAAGCAAATAGTTACGAACTGCTATAGGGGATTGTTACCAGGTCCTGAGTCTGAGTGTTGGAAACACAAACCCAGAAGCAAACAAATCTGCCCAACACCCCTGACATGTGGGTTTCACAGAAAATACTGAGGTCAGAGTAGCGTGTTAAATGATACCACAGTGATGACACAATCATAAAAATCTACACTGTGGACTCTGTCCTAGTTTCTTTAACGAATTGCATGGAAAAAAAAGATGGAAGGGGAAGAATAAGAATGAAGAATGCTTTAGAGACTCTGCAATCCATCGTAATATCCGTACAAGGATTCTGCTCTTTTAAAAAAAGAAAAATGGTGTGAAAAAATATGTAGGACTGGCCAGGCAGCGTGGCTCACACCTGTAATCCCAACACTTTGGGAGGCCGAGGTGGGTGGATCACTTGAGGTCAGGAGATCAATCCTGGCCGACAAGCCTGACCAACATGCCAATATGGTGAAACCCCGTCTCTACTAAAAATCCAAAAAATTAACCAGGCATGGTGGTGGGCACCTGTAATCCCAGCTAATTGGGAAGCTGAGGCAAAAGAATCGCTTGAACCCAGGAGGCGGAGGTTGCAGTGAGCCGAGATCTTGCCACTGCATTCCAGCCTGGGTGACAGGGCGAGACTCTATCTCAAAAAAAAAAAAAAGTAAGACAATCAGGGAAATTTGAACAGCGACTGGATTTTGGTTAAAAGTAAGTAATTCTGGCTAATTTTTAGATGTATTATTTTAAAAAGGGGATCCTTACCCTTTGGAGGTGGATACCTCCAAATATTCATGGATGAAATGACAGGATGCCAGAAATGCTCTTCAATTAATCTATGTCAGGGAAGTGGGATCAGAGGAATCAGGACTGTCTAAAACTGAAGCTGGGTATTAGGTCAATGAGTTAATTATACTATTCATTCATTATGCTATTTATTTCCTTTTGTATATTCTTTAAATTTTTCATAATAGTAATAAAGATATGTTGAACATGGTAAAGATGGAAAATGTACAGAGATAGAAGAAATATTCTTATTTTTTATTTCATACAATTCTATAGTTTCACATTTTGTTTTACTGTATTTATGCATTAATTCTATAACTGTAAAACATGCTATTAATAATTAAACTGACCTTATGAAAATTCTTGGAGAGTGAAAACTTTGAAACTCATGTGCTAGGTACATCATTAAAATATATCATTCAGGCGACACCTGATGACTCACATCTATAACCCCAGTAATTTGGGAGATGAAGATAGGAGGCTCCCTTAAGCCCAGGAGTTTGAGACCAGCCCTGGCTATATAGCGAGAGCCTGTTTCTACAAAAAAAAAAAAAAATTATTATTAATTAGCCAGGCATGGTGGCATGCACCTGTAGTTCCAGCTACTCAGGAGGCTAAGGTCAGAGGATAGCTTGAGCATGAAAGTTCAAGACTGTAGTGAGCCATGGTCATGCCACTGCACTCCAGCCTGGGAAACAGGGTAAAACCATGTCTCAATAAACAAACAAATAAATACATAAATACATAATAAAGTATTCCATTCAACATTTTTACCTTAGTAATGCTCAACGTTTGGTTTTTACTTATTTCCTTTTATGTTGTATTTTCTAGACCAAATTCACATATAGTATAAAGCAGAAGAAACTAAAGATTAAATTCATTGTTCGTAATTGTATTCAGTTTCCTGTTTTCATCATCGTTTGTTTACAAATTTTTTTTTTTTCTTTTTTGAGACAGAGTCTCGCTCTGTCACCCAGGCTGGAGTGCAGTGGCTGGATAGCTCACTGAAAGCTCCGCCTCCCAGGTTCATGCCATTCTCCTGCCTCAGCCTCCGGAGTAGCTGGGACTACAGGCGCCCACCACCATGTCTGGCTAATGTTTTGTATTTTTAGTAGAGACGGGGTTTCACCATGTTAGCCAGGATGGTCTCAATCTCCTGATCTCGTGATCCACCTGCCTCGGCCTCCCAAAGTGCTGGGATTACAGGTGTGAGCCACTGCCCCGGTCTGTTTAGGAATATTTTTAAAGAATTATTGCACTTCTGTTCGGATAGAAAAACAAAAATGCATTTTAAGAATATATATTTATATGTATGAAAATATAAAATTTTGAAAAGTTGAATATTTCGAGCCAGTTATGTAGATGTCCTTGTCCTTCTCTGAGCTGCTGACTCACGTTCCATGAAGCGGGATGGGTCTCACAGGGCCTGTCAGGATGCAGGCTGTGATGTGAAGGCCCCTCGACACTCACAGGATTGGACGGGTTTGTGAAGGAATTTGGAGTGAGCCTTAGTTAGTTCCTTAACATTTCCTTTGAGCAACATCAGTGCTTTTGACATTTTGCACTGCCGTATAAAACTGTAAGTGCATGCAGAGATGTATGTTTCTGAATAAATCACAAAATTGACAAGCAACTGCCATGCATTGTTTTTTGTATCATAGCTAACTGATAAAGTACAGACTGCAACATTTACTTATTCAAATACCTTTAAACATCTGGTATTTTTTTTTTACCTGTACTTCCCAGGAATTTGATGTCAGATGCATTTTCTATTATTTCCATATCTATTGAAATGAACTCAAATAAAAAAAGGGGATGTTTCATTACACACTTATTAATGTGTAATTTAAGATTAATGTGTAATCTTGTAATTCCCATAATCCTCATGTGTCAAGGGCGGGACCAGATGGACATGATTGAATCATAGGAGTGGTTTTCTCCACGCTGTTCTCGTGATAGTGAGTTCTCACAAGATCTGATGGTTTTATAAGGGGCTTCTTCCTTCACTCAAAACTCATTGTTTCTGCTGCCACCCTGTGAAGAGGTGCCTTCGGCCATGATTGTAAGTTTCCTGAGGCATGCCCAGCCATGTCAAACTATGAGTCAATTAAACTTTTCTTTATAAATTACCCAGTCTTGAGTAGTTCTTCATAACAGCATGAAAACAGACTAATACAGTAAATTGGTACCACAGACATAGGGTGCTGTTATAAGGATACCCTAAAATGTGGAAGTGACTTTGGAACTGGGCAACAGGCAGAGGTTGGAATAGTTTGGAGAGTTCAGAAGAAGACAGTAAAGGCTGGGTGTGGTGGCTCATCCCTGTAATCCCAGGACTTTGGGAGACCGAGGCAGGTGGATGACCTGAGGTCAGGAGTTTGAGACCAGCCTGGCCAACATGGTGAAACCCCATCTCTACTAAAAATATAAAACTAGCTGGGCATCGTGGTGCATGCCTGTAATCCCAGCTACTTGGGAGGCTGAGGCAGGAGAATGGCTTGAACATGGGAGGTGGAGGTTGCAGTGAGCAGAGATTGTACCACTGCATTCCAGCTTGGGCAACAAGAGCGAAACTCCATCTCAAAAACAAAAAAAAAAGAAGACAGAAGAATGTGGGGAAGTGTGGAACTTCCTAGAGACTTGGAGGGCTTGGAAGACAAGAAGATGTGGGAAAGTTTGGGACTTCCTAGAGACTTGAATGGCTTCTACCAAAATGCTGACAGTGACATGGAAAATGAAGTCCAGGCTGAGGTGGTCTCAGATGGAGATGGGGAACTTGTTGGGAACTCGGATAAAGGTGATTCTTTCTATGCTTTAGCAAAGAGACTGCAACACTTTGCCCCTGACCCGGAGAGCTGTGGAACTTTGAACTTGAGAGAGATGATTTAGGGTATCTCGTGGCAGAAATTTCTAAGCAGCAAAGTGTTCAAGAGGAAGCAGAGCATAAAAGTTTAGAAAACTTGCAGCCTGACAAGGCGATAGAAAAGAAAAACCCATTTTCTTGGGAGAAATTCAAGCCAGCTGCGGAAATTTGCAGAACAAGGAGTGGAATATTAATTGCCAAGACAATGAGGGAAATGTCTCCAGGGCATGTCAGAGACCTTCTTGGAAGCCCCTCCCATCATAGGCCTGGAAACCTAGGAGGGAAAAATGGTTTCATGGGCCCAGGACCCCCTGTTCTGTGCAGCTTTGAGACATGGTGCCCTGTCTCCCAGCTGCTTCAGCTCCAGCCACAGTTAAAAGGGGCCAAGGTACAGCTCAGGCCATTGCTTCAGAGGGTCCAAGCTCCAAGCCTTGGAGGCTTCCATGTGGTGTTGAGCCTGTGGGTTCACAGAAGTCAAGAATTGAGGTTTGGGAACCTTCACCTGGATTTCAGAAGATGTATGGAAATGCCTGGATACCCAGGCAGAAGTTTGCTGCAGGGGCAAAGCCCTCATGGAGAACCTCTGCTAGGACAGTGCAGAAGGGAAATGTGGGGTTGGAGCCCCCACACAGAGTCCTCACTGGGGTACTACCTAGTGGAACTGTGAGAAGAGGGTTACCGTCCTCCAGACCCCAGCATGGTAGCTCCACTGACAACTTTCATTGTGCCCCTGGAAAAGCCACAGACACTCAATGCCAGCCCATGAAAGCAGCCAGGAGGGAGGTTGTACCCTGCAAAGCCACAGGGGTGGAGCTGCCCATGGCCATGGGAGCCTATTTCTTGCATCAGTGTGACCTGGATGTGAGACCTGGAATCAAAGGAGAACATTTTGGAACTTTTAAGGTTTAATGACTGCCCTATTGTTTTTCAGACTTGCATAGGGCCTGTAGCCCCTTTGTTTTGGCCAATTTCTCCCATTTGGAATGGGTGTATTTACAGGCACAATGCCTGTGCCTCCATTGTATCTAGGAAGTAACTAACTTGCTTTTGATTTTACAGGCTCATAGGTGGAAGGGACTTGACTCAGATGAAACTCTGGACTTGGACATTTGGGTTAATGCTGTAATGAGCTAAGACTTTGGGGAAGTGTAGGAAAGGTATGATTGTTTTGAAATGTGAGGACATGGGACTTGGAGTGGGGCCAGGGACAGAGTGATATGATTTAGCTCTGTGTCCCCACCCAGATCGCATCTTGAATTGCAGTTTCCATAATCCCCAAGTGTAAAGGGTAGGATCGGGTGGACATAATTGAATCATGGGGTAGTTGTCCCCATGCTGTTCTCATGATGATGGGTGAGTTCTCATGAGATCTGATCATTTCATAAGGGGCTTCCCCTTTGCTCAAAACTCATTATTTCTGCTGCCACCCTGTGAAGAGGTGCCTTCTGCCATGATTGTAAGTTTCCTGAGGCTTCCCTAGCCATGTGGAACTGTGAATCAATTAAACCTCTTTTCTTTATAAATTACCCAGTCTTGGATATTTCTTCATAGCAGCATGAGAATGGACTAATACAACATGTGAGTGCATTTCCAGTTAATAAATAGGTAATATTTTCTGTGCTTTCTGCTATGGTAATGAATTGCATTACAACTTCACTAAAGAGAGAAATCACTCACAATTTGAGACCTAAACCAAGAGCTGAAGAAAGTGCAAAGAGACCTACAATAATTCCTATAAGTTATTTCCAATGGAAGCCCTCTGTGAATGTAGTACTGTAATACAAAAAACCTATGGAATAAAAAGAATGCATTCTCTGAGTAATGTTATGCAGTTTAACCCCTCTCTGCATATTTTTGTCACCTGTCATCTGTAATGTAGGGATAATACAATTAATGTTATTGTCATGATTACATGAGTGAGATGAGTGAGGAATTTTTTTTGTTTTTTGTTTGTTTTGAGACGGAGTCTGGCTCTGTCGCTAGGCTGGAGTCCTGTGGCGCGATCTTGGCTCACTGCAACCTCCAACTCCCCGGTTCAAGCGATTCTCCTGCCTCAGCCTTCTGAGTAGCTGGGACTATAGGCACAGACCACCACACTAGGCTAATTTTTGTATTTTTAATAGATACGGAGTTTCACCATGTTGTCCAGGATGGTCTCGATCTCCTGACCTCGTGTTCTGCCTGCCTCGGCCTACCAGAGTGCTGGGATTACAGGCATGAGCCACCGTGCCTGGCCAAGTGAGGCATTTTAAACAGTGCATGGTTCCAAGTAATGGCTCAGAAAAGTTAGCTATTAGAATTGTAATGGTTGTTAGTGATGTTTGCCATTTTCTTTAAGAATTTCACACTTGTATCAAAAAACAGTATTAAAAGAACTATACAATCATTTAATATATAAAAAGGATAATTCTTTGTAGTTTAAGCCATAAAAGTTGCATCCAAACATAGATTTAAATAACCTCTTGTCCCCACCTTTAATAGTCTTTCAAAATATCGCATGTGCTTTTTATATTGTGAAAAGAAATAAATTAAATAGTCATACTTACAGGATTAAAAGTTATTTTCATGTACTTTGGAATTTGTTCATATTAGTTACACTTCAAGTTAATATTACATGTAATATTAAATGTACTTAATATTAAAAGTGCATTTAAAATACCTGAATGAAAATAAATTTTCATAATCAAATAAATCCCAGCACTGATTCAAGAGAATTATACCACCATGCTCATACTAAGAAGACACTGAATCAAAGCAGAAGCACATGCCTTAATCGTTGATAAGTGAAGCCTTCAGTGAGTATCAAAAATAAAAGATAGCAAAAACAGAATAATTACTACACTAATCATAGATGATTGGCAAAGGTAAACATAACAAATTTCTAGGAAGGAGCTGCTTCGAAGAGTGATCTTTATGCGGGAAAACTCCAGCCTGGTGCCTTTGGGATCACTGATTTCCCTTGCTGGGAGTACTTGTGGTGAAACTAATAAAATCACTGAGATGCCACAAGAAAAATAACTTGGGAAGAAGCTGACCACCGAGTTACAGATTCATGGGAAAGACATCAGGAGGTCATTTCCCTCATTTCCTTGCCTTGAGATTAATACTCAAGTCATCAACGCTAAATAAATATTTCCTGAAAATAAAGTATTTCTAGGAAAAAAATCATAACTTTGAGAATCCTCATGTTTGTATAATTGAATCAAGGACAGATGTGACTAACTTCAGAAGTCTGTTGTTCTTCCTATATTCAGTCCAGCAAACTCTCAGCAAAGCCCCCAGTGTATGAAGAATATGAAAAAGGAGTTCTGCTAGTAGAATTTGGGACTGAGAGTCCAGAGTTCTGATCTTTTGGCCTGTGCCTTCTAATGCCCTTTCACCCCACTTCATCTAAGGCAACCCTAGAAATTGTCAAAGAAAAACAGCAGTGCTGGATACTTGCTAAAGGCAATGAGACCTATTTTACTCAGACTATTTCAGCAGGAGGGAGAGACTTCAGTATAAACTAAGCTCAACTCCAAGTAAGACAAAGGAGGCTGATGTTTTTAAAAATAGAACAAATGGGAAATAAAAAGAAACTATGGAAAAGTAAAAAGAGGGGAATTAAAAAAGGGACTGAGGACTACGTGAAAATGCAAATTATAAAAGGGGGTAAGAGTCTGGCGCGGTGGCTCACGCCTGTAGTCCCAGCACTTTGGGAGGCCGAGGCGGGCAGATCACGAGGTCAGGAGATCGAGACCATCCTGGCTAACACGGTGAAACCCCGTTTCTACTAAAAACACACAAAAAGTTGGCTGGACATGGTGGCGGGCTCCTGTACTCCCAGCTACTCAGGAGGCTGAGGCAGGAGAATGGCGTGAACCTGGGAGGGGGAGCTTGCAGTGAGCTGAGATCACGCCACTGCACTCCAGCCTGGGGGAGAGAGGGAGACTCCGTCTCAAAAAAAAAAAAAAAGCGGGGGGTAAGTAGAGAATTACTGGAAATGATTTGACACCATCAGTTACGACAATATACATTATGTAGTTTGGCAGCATTGTATTTTCTTGAGCAAAGACTCAGCGCAGGGCCTGGGGTTAACTACTCCAAGTGGAAGCCAGGCTAATGTTAGGTCAAGTCTCTTAGCACAGTGTTTAGGCAAATCCTTTTTGCTTCAGGGAAGTTCACAGTCCCTCCTCTTGTTCAAGAGAAAGAATGAATTTCTTTCTCGTAGAATAAATATAGTTGTTGCACTCCAAAGTCCTCAAAAGAAAAAAGTTCAGCCATTGTTTATCATCATTGTGCAATTCAGGAAGAGTCAAGGTGGTAAATGCAACAATCGAGGAGGTTTGGTGTACTATCAATGGTGGCACAATTGTCTCATAAGAATAGAGATGCACTTGGTGGGTCATGCCTGTAATCCCAACACTTTGGGACGCTGAGGTGGGTGGATCACGAGGTCAAGAGATCGAGACCATCTTGGCCAACATGGTGAAACCTCATCTGTACTAAAAATACAAAAATTAGCTGCGCATGGTGGCACACGCCTGTAGTCCCAGCTACTCAGGAGACTGAGGCAGGAGAATCGCTTGAACCAGGAGGGGGAGGTTGCAGTGAGTAGAGATAGTGCCATTGTACTCCAGCCTGGTGACAGAGTGAGACTCTATCTGGAAAAGAAAAAAAAAAAAGAAGAATAGTGGTGTACTTAAGAGACAAAGAATATTGCCATTAAGGATGTTTTTAAGAAGCCAAGTGCAAGATCAAAAAAGACAAAGGAGAGCATTACATAATGGTAAAGAGTTCAATTCAACAAGAAGATCTAACTATCCTAAATATATGTGCACCCAATACAGGAGCACCCAGATTCATAAAGCAAGTTCTTAGAGACTTACAAAGAGACACGGAGTCTCACACAATAACAGTGGGAGATTTCAACACTCCACTAACAGTTATTAGACAGATCACCAAGGCAGAAAATTAAAAAACATATTCAGGACCTGAACTCAACATTAGATCAAATGTATCTGATTGACTTCTACAGAACTCTCCACTCAAAAACAACAGAATATACATTCTTCTCATCACCACATGGCACATACTCTAAAATCAGCCACATAATTGGACATAAAACAACGCTTAGCAAATGTAAAAGAACCGAATTCTTACCAAACACACTCTTGGACAACAGTGCAGTAAAAATAAAAGTTGAGACTAAGAAAATCACTCAAAACCATACAATTACATGGAAATTAAACAACATGTTCCTGAATGACTTTTGGGTAAATAATGAAATTAAGGCAGAAATCAAGAAGTTCTTTGAAAATAATGTGAACAAAGATACAACATACCAGAATCTCTGGGACACAGGTAAGGCAATGATAAGAGGGAAATTCATAGCACTACCTGCCCACATCAAAAAGTTAGAAAAATCTCAAAAAGTTAGAAAGATCTCAAATTAACAACGTAATATCGCAACTAAAAGAATTACAGAAGCAATAACAAATCAACCCCAAAGCTAGCAGAAAACAAGACATAACCAAAATTGGAGCTGAATGGAAGAAAATCAAAGACACAAAAATAATTCAAAAGATTGTTGAATCCAGGATTTTTTTTGAAAAAATTAATAAGATAGGCCAACACCTAGAATAATAAAGAAAAAAAGAGAGAACGTCCAAATAAACACTACTAAAATTTTGAGGCCCGGTGTGGTGGCTCATACCTGTAATCCCAGCACTTTGGGAGACTGAAGCGGGTAGATCACTTGAGGCCAGGAGTTTGAGAGCAGCCTGACAAACGTGGTGAAACCCTCTCTACTAAAAATACAAAAATTAGCTGGGCATGGTGGCACACAACTGTAGTCCCAACTACTCAGGAGGCGGAGGCACAAGAATTGCTTGAACCCAGGAGGCAGAGCCTGCAGTGAGCCAAGATGGTGCCACTGTACGCCAGCCTGGATGACAAAGCAAGACTCTGTCTCAAAAAAAAAAAAAAAAAAAAAACAGAAAGGAAAATGTTAACACTGACTGCACAAAAATAAAAATAATCAAATAACCACTAAAAACTACTATGAACACCTCAATGCACACAAACTAGAAAACCTTGAAAAGATGGATAAATTCCTGGACACATACACCCACCCAAGACTAAGCCAGGAAGAAATTGATTGCCTGAACAGACCAGCAACAAGCTCCAAAATTGAACCAGTAACAAATAGCCTACCAACCAAAAAAAGCCCAGGACCTGATGGATTCATAGCTGAATTCTACCAGATGTACAAAGAACTGGTACCATTCCTAGGGAAAGTACCCCCCGAAAAATTGAGAAGGAGTGACTCCTCTTTAGCACATTCTATGAGGCCACCATCATCCTGATACTAAAACCTGGCAGAGCCACAACAACCAAAAAGAAAACTTCAGGCCAATATCCTTGATGAACATCAATGCAAAAATCCTCAGCAAAATACTTGCAAACCAAATCCAGCAGCACATCAAAAAGCTAATCCACCATGATCAAATAGGCTTCATTCCTGGGATGCAAGGTTGGTTCTACATATGCAAATCAATAAATGTGATTTCGTCACATAAACAGAACTGAAGACAAAAACCACATGATTATCTCAATCAATGCAGAAAAAAAGCTCTTGATAAAATTTAACCCCCTTTCATGTTAACAACTCTCAACAAAGTAGGTATTGAAGGAATATACCTCAAAATAATAAGAGACATCTATGACACATCCACAGCCAATATCACTTTGAATGGGCAAAAGCTGGAAGCTTTTTGCCCTTGAAAACTGGCACAAAACAAGTCTGCCCTCTCTCACCACTCCTATTCAAAATAGTTGTGAAATTCCTAGCCAGAGCAATCATGAAAGAGAAAGAAATAAAGAGCATCTAGATAGGAAAAGAAGAAGTCAAACTATCTCTGTTTGCAGATGACATGATGTTATATCCAGAAGCCTCATACCTTCAGCCCAAAAGCTCCTTTAGCTGATAAACAGCTAACCAGGGAGGTGTAGAATTCTCTACAATGAGAATTACAAAACACTGCTCAAAGACATCAGAGATGACACAAACAAATGAAAAAATATCACAGGCTCATGGATAGGAAGAATCAACATAATTAAAATGGTCATAATGCCCAAAGCAATTTACAGATTCAATACTATTCATATCAAACTACCAATGACATTCTTCACAAAACTAGGAAAACTATTTTAAAATTAATATAGAACCAAAAAAATAAGGCCTGAATAGCCAAGACAATCCTAAGTAAAGAGGAGAAAAGCTGGAGGCATTATGTTACCCAATTTCAAACTATGTTACAGGGCTACAGTAACAAAAACAACATGGTAGTGGTACAAAAACAGGCAAATAAACCAACAGAACAGAATCAAGAGCCCAGAATAAGGTTGCACACCTATGACCACCTGATCTTCAACAAAGCTGACAAAAGCAAGCAATGGGGAAACAATTCCCTATTTGATAAATGGTGCTGGGATAACTGGCTAGCCATATGCAGAAAACTGAAGCATCCACTCTTCCTTACACCACCCTTCCTTACACCAAATACATAAATCAACTCAAAATGGATTAAAGACATAGTGTAAAACCCAAAACTATGAAAACCCATGAAGACAAACTAGGCAATACAATCCTGGACATAGGAATAGGCAAAGATTTCATGACAAAGACGCCAAAAGCAATTGCAACGAAAGCAAACAATGACAAGGGGGATCCAATTTACTTAAGAGCTTCTGCACAACAAAAGAAACTATGGACAGAGTTAACAGACAACCTACAGATTGGGAGAAAATATTTGCAAACTATGCATCCGACAAAGGTGTAATATCCAGCATTTATAAGGAACTTAAACAAATTTACAAGAGAAAAACAAACAACTCCATTAACAAGTGAGCAAAGAACATGAACAGAAACTTTTCAAAGGAAGACACGCATCCAACAAGCATATGAAAAAAACTTCAATATCTATCACTAATCATTAGAGAAATGCACATCAAAACCATAGTGACATACTGTCTCATACCAGTCAGAAAGGCTATTGTTAAAAAGTCAAAAAATAGCAGATGCTGGTGAGAATGCAGAGAAAAAGGAACACTTAGACACATTGGTGGGATGTAAATTAGTTTAACCATTGTGGAAAGCAATATGGTGATTCCTCAAAGAGCTAAAAGCAGAACTGCTATTTAACTCAGTAATCCCAGTACTGGGTATATACCCAGAGGAATATAAACCAGTCTACCATAAAGACACTTGCACATGTAAATGTTCATCGCAGCAATATTCACAATAGCAAAGACATGGAATCAGCCTAAATGCCCATCAATGACAGATTGGATAAAGAAAGTGTGGTACATATACACCATGGAGTACCATGCAGCTGTAAGAAAGAATGAGATTATGTCGTTTGCAGGAACATGGCTAGAGCTGGAGGCTATTATCCTCAGCAACTAACGCAGGAACAGAAAACCAAATACTGCATGTTCTTACTTGTAAGTGAAGGCTAAATGATGAGAACTTATTAACACAAAGAGGGAAACAGCAGACACTGGGGTCTGCTTGAGCATGCAGTGTGGGAGGTGGGAGAGGAGTGGAAACAGTAACTGTTGGGTACTGGGCTTAATTCCTGGGTGATTAAATAACCTGTACAACAAGACCCCATGACATGAGTTTACCTTTGTAACAAATCTTCACATGTACCCCTGACCTTACAATAAAAGTTAAAAGAAAAAAAAAAAAAGCCAAGTCCCTTAAAAAGTCTCCTAAGCCATTTGGCTGGGGAAACCATTTTCTCCTTAGAGACTAAGCCTGTCTGGAGGGGCGTGAGCTATGTTGGCTGCTTCTCAGGCACGTGCTGCCACGACTTCTTGATTCATTTCTCTTTATCATTCATGAATGAAAAGCATTGGGAACTCACCAGTGCACAAGCACCTTCTTGAAAACCCAGTATGTAGTCTAAGGTGAGCTAGTTTTGTAAAGTCATTTTGAGAAGCTCCAATACCTCATGGATTTATGAAACAAAAGCTTATATTAAGTTTGAGATGAACTCTACTAATTATTTTTTAAATTGTTATTTCAATAGCTTAAGGGGTACAAATAGTTTTTGGTTATATGAATAAATTGTATAGTGGAGAAGTCTGGGCTTTTACTGTATCTGTCACCAAATAATTTACAGTGTACCCAAGAGGTGATTTTTTTTTATCCCTCTCCCTTCCTCTCTGAGCCTCCAATGTCCATTATGCCCCTCTGTATACCTTGTGTACCCATAGCTTAGCTCCCACTTATATGTAAGAACATGCAGTATTTGGTTTTTCCATTCCTGAGTTACTTCACTTATGGTAATGGCCTCCAGTTCCAAGTTGCTGCAAAAGACATTTGTGTGCGTGTGTGGCTAAGTAGTATTCCTTTTTGTTGTTGTTGCTGAGATGGAGTCTCGCTCTGTTGCCCAGCCTGGAGTGCAGTGGTGTGATCTCAGCTCACTGCGACCTCTACCTCTCGGGTTCAAGCAATTCTCTGCCTCAGCCTCCCGAGGAGCTGGGATTACAGGTGCCCGCCACCATGCCCAGCTAATTTTTGTATTTTCAGTAGAGATGGGGTTTCACCCTCTTGGCCAGGCTGGTCTTCAACTCCTGACCTCATGATCCACCTGCCTCGGCCTCCTCAACTGCTGGGATTACAGGCGTGAGCAACCTGGCTGGGCCTGTAGTATTCCATTTTTTATATATACCACATTTTCCTTATCCATTCCTCTGTTGATAGGCACTCAGCTTGATTCTCTATCTCTGCTATTGTGAATTGTGTGTGATAAACATCCATGTGCAAGTGTTCTTTATATATAATGACTTCTTTTCCTTGGGTAGATACCAGTAGTGGGATTGCTGATTGAATAGTAGATCTACATTTAGTTCCTTGAGAAATCTCCACATTGTTTTTCATAGAAGTTGTACTAATTTACATTCCCACCAACAGTGTATGAGCATTCTCTTTCATCACATCTGTGCCAACATCTGTTTTTGTTTGTTTGTGTTTTAACCTTTTGGCTAGGGTAAGACAATTCTGACTAGATGGTATCTCACTGTGATTTTAATTTGAATTTCCGTGATGATTAGTGATGTTGAGCATTTGTTCATTTATTTGTTGGCCGTTTCCATATCTTCTTTTGAGAAATATCTATTCATGTCGTTTGCCCACTTTTTAGTAGGATTATGTGTTTTTTTTCTCGCTAATTTGTTGGAGTTCCTTTTAGATTCTGGATACTAGTCCTTTGTCAGATGTATCTTACAGCATAGGAGTTGGCTGACCTATGTTGGTGACAAAGGGTAGAATATCAAGAGTAGAGCACCCTGTAAGTTTGGCCTGAGCAAGCGGCTCTCCCCGGACCTGTTTAAGGCTGCTTGTCATCCAGCCATTATCCATTCACAAGTTTCAGGCTCAGCAATTGTGGGAGCGCTCATGTTTCTAATGTTTCCATTGGGAAATTTTTCATACATTTCCATTTGAGGGACAGCATAAGCCACATCGCAGCAGCCAGCCCAATGGGCTGGAAGTACTTTGTATGGTTTTATGACCACATACTAAATAATGTCCCTTGAGGGCATACTAGTGTTGGTTATTGCCTCTAGTGGTTGTAACAGAGGCTAGAGGAGCTAACCTGGAATAGACTCCAAAGAGATAGTTATAAACATCATCTTCTAAATGGCTGGGTACTTTGGTACCATTTAGCCAGCAATTTTTTGCCCAGTCTTTCAGTTCACCAAAATATTGATCTGGAGTAAAATAATTTCCTATGATACTGGTATTGCGTGGGTATTGCAGACAATGCTGTCCTTAATGGGAGTTTGGCCCTTACAAAGAATGTCTGTTTCTTGAAAATAGGTTTCATCTTTTCACAAGGACACAGAGCATCTACTGTGTTCCACAGGGTGACTGTATTTATTAGACTGATTTCTAGTAAAACACCACGTTTCTTAGGTTAAAGAGGCCACATCATACTCCCAGTCACAAGGGCTTTTAAGAAATAGCCCAATATCTTTCTAAAAGGGAGACCTAAATGGCTGTATATTTGTAATGTTTTCTGCCAAGGCCATATCTAAAGCATAAGGGAGACAATTATTAAGGGAATACCAGTTTTAGGATAGAGTGGGAATGGGCATAGACCCGGCAATTACTTCGGTTAATTTCATTGGCTACTTTGTCAGCTAAGAGACCGAGGGAATTATGGTCATGAGAGGAAAGCACGGGATAGGGTAAGATGAGGAAACAGAGGGGAATCATGACAGGGCTGCTGAGGCTGGAGATGGAGTATATATGTTGTAAGTAGGACACATCACTAGGATAAAGATGGGACGTTGTAGAGGACACAGGAGTAGTAGCAGAATGCGTAGACCCAAAATTGAAGTCAGAGACAGGGGAGGGGAATCGGAGTGAATCTTGTTTCATGATCTTTGGCAGAAGCGGACTGCTTCATCATATCATTTACTTGCTCCGTAGTTCTTAGGATGGATGTCTGTCTCCAGCTGTTGGCTACTTTTAGAGGTTCTTTTCTTTTCTTTCCTTTCCTTTTCTTTTTTTTTTTTTTTTTTTTTTTTTGAGACCGAGTCTTGCTCTGTCACCCAGGCTGAAGTGCAGTGGTGCAATCTCTGCTCGCTGCAAAGTTTGGAGGTTCTTTTTTTTTCTTTCCTTTTCGAGATTGAGTCTCGCTCTGTTCCCAAGGCTGGAGTGCAGTGGCTCAATCTCGGCTCACTGCAAGCTCCGCCTCCCGGGTTCACGCCATTCTCCTGCCTCAGCCTCCCGAGTAGCTGGGACTACAGGAGCCCGCCAATTAGCGCCCGGCTAATTTTTTCGTATTTTTAGTAGAGACGGGGTTTCACCTGATGGTCTCTATCTGCTGACCTCGTGATCCGCCCGCCTCGGCCTCCGAAAGTGCTGGGATTACAGGCGTGAGCCACCGCGCCTGGCCTGGAGGTTGTTCATAGAGTCTCAGCGTGAGTCTCTGGTTAGAGTGCCTTCCAATTGAAATAGATTTTGTATTTTTTCAACTAAAAGACATGCACCCAAGTTCAAACACTCTGTAATTTGTTAGCAGTGTTAGCAATGAGTGAAACAATAAAAGGTCCCCTCCCTCTGGGTTCAAGGTTAGTTTTCTGATGTTGGTGTTTTTTCAAAATGCCAGATCACTTACTTATGAAGCAAGTAAGGACTGATCAGGGAGTTTAAAGATACAAGAAGCCTCAATTGTGGAGTATAGTGGGGCTGTGTGTATTTAATTAATCCCTGACAATATCTGAGGTTGTTGAACTGAGTTAGTTTGGAATCTTCTGCTAGTTTGCATTAGTAGGGTATTCTCATGGGTATCCCGTAATGATTCAAAGAGGATCGTTTGTGTGAAGGTAGGGCCAAGGATCTGAGAGTCAGTGTGATGGGTAATATCTGTGGCCATGGCAAGTTCTTTCTTCAGACAGTTTAGCCAGTTCAGCTTGAGGATGCTGTTGGCTCTTTGTATAGAACTTTATCACTGAGGATGGTAAGTCCAGTGGAATATTTGGCTGGTGTGTGTAACCTTTCCTATTTCCTGAATAATTTTGCCAGTGAAATGTGATCCTCTGTCACTAGAGGCAGTAGAGGGGATAACCCATGTGGGGAAGATTCACTCTTAATAAACCTTGGCAACCGATGTCCTTGAGGAGTTTCAACAGGGAAAGCCTCCCATTCTATTTTCCAGTGAAGGAAGCCTATTTTCCAGTGAAGGAAGGATGTAGAGGGAGCCACTTCCCTTTTTTGCCCCACCTTTATGCTTTTTGGAGGATTATGTTGTTGGTAGATGCAGCAAATGGCAACAGCTTGGTCCAAATAAAATCTAAAGAGTCCAAGCCATATTGTTTTGTTTAATATATACTACATGTTATCCTTTCTGTGGTAAATCTGGATGAGCAAATTGTACACAATGACTTGGGAGACAGACTTAGGAGTTATCAAATGGCCATCTGGGTATTTCTGAAGTCCACTTAAGTGGATCAAACATTCACCTTTTTCTCATCCAATTCTTTCTGACTCTGAAATTGTTATCTGGGCTGTGTGAATTTTACATTTCCTTTAGAGGCATTGTAAAGACATTGCTTCTGTCAATTTATTTAAAGAGGGTAAATAATCCTAGCAGGACTGTGGGTATTTGAAATGAAGCCCAGGTATCTAGTCACAAGGTTTGGAGACTTCCTGGATTTCTTAGGCGGCCAAGGAAGAGGATGCTAGCTTAGCACCTTTATCAGCCAATTTATTTCCCTGAGCCTCATCTGAGTATTTTATACTATATCCCTCAGCTTTAACTGTAACAACTAGCTGGGGCAATAGCAATGACTCTAGAAGTTCTGCTATTTGGGGTTTACTTTTGACTGGGGACAAGTTGCTGTCATGAATCCTCTCTGTTTTCAAAACATACCAAAATCATGCACTACACCAAAGACCCAGTGTCTGTCACTGTAGGTGCTAATCTTAATTCCCTCTGCCTTATATAAGCCTGAATGAGAACAGTTAATTTAGCCACTTTGGCTGATTTAACGTGTGGCAAAGCTTGGCATTCAAGAGTTTTGTGTAGATGAGTGATGGCATATCCAGGCTGGAAGGTCCCAACCTCCTTCCAGAAGTAGGAGCGATTGACATAGAGCATCAGGTCGACTTAGGAGAGAAGGGTTTCTGACATATCTAACCTAAATGAGACAGTGATCTGGTTTCAGTAGCACCATTGTGTGTGTGTGCTGAGGGGTTCCCTTAGTGGACAAAATGTACAGGGTAGCAAGGGATTTTTGGCAGCAAAGGATTGTGATTGGGTGGGGAGGCATAGTGATATTTCATGAGAAGTAAGTCGAGAAGCAAACGAGTGCTGTGTGTTTTCATTAAGTAATAGGGTCAACACAGCATGGGAACATACACATCAAGTGGGCGGCCTAACACTAAATCAGAAGTAGCCTGGATGAGTTGGAAGTCATGGCCACTGTTTGTAGGCCAGGAGGATATGCTTCAGCACTGGCTGGTTTTGTGGGAAAACAGAGAGAAAGACATGGCTGAGTCTCATGGTGCTCAGAGAAGGCCACAGCCTTGGGGTGCCGTGGTGACCACAAACACTTCCCCCATCCCATACCAATCTTTAAGAGCCTTTTCCTTCTTAAAGACCTGTCACTTAGCAAAGAGCTTTCAATGAACCCTCCCCTCTGGGCCACTTGTTGGATTGCAGCCAATCAGTGATGGAGGGCTGGACACAACTGTGGGATGCTGTGATTTGGTTTAGCCCTTGGGTCTAGAGTGCTCTGGGGTCCACTGTACTTCTGGGATAAAACGCCAAGGCCATGACTCTCTTGCTCATTTACAAACAAAAAATTGAGGGCTAGCTAAACAAGGACAGGGTGGAAGCAGCTTTCTGTAAGACACACCCACCAGTGTGCCCTGTCAGTTTACCATTGCCATGGCAACACTCAGGCATTACCACCCCTTTCAGCAGCAATGACCTGATGACCCAAAAGTTACCACCCTTTTCCTAGCAATTTCTGCACAAACCACCCCTGAATCTACATGTAATTAAAAGCAGGTATACATATGACAGCAAAACTGGGCTCAGCTGCTACTCTCGGCACCCTGCCTATGGGGCAACCCTGGGAGCAGTCACTGAGCTGTGACCCTGCAGGAGCTGTAACAGTGCTGCTTTGATAAAGGTGTTTTCTTCCACCTTACCACTGGCTCGCCCTTGAATCCTTTCCTGGGTGAAGCCAAGAACCCTTGCAGGCTAAGCACCACTTTGGGGTTCGCCTACCTTGCATCAGCATCAGGTTTTTTTTTTAAACTTGTAAAATAGTTTTTGTGACTCTGTCATGTATTTTGCAGTCATGAACTAACATTTTTTCCCTCAATTGTCAGTTGCAGTTTCCTCAAAGATCATTATAAATACTCCTTAACCTACAAAGTTTGGCAGTCACAGCCTACTCTTTGAGGAACAGCCTGACTCACCATCAAGTGGCTCCTCAGGTGGTTTTACTTCCCATGTTTCCCATGTGAGGTACTAAGCCTCAGTGATTCCTGGCAAAACTTGTATTCTCTGTTAGTATTGCGCTAACTTTGGAGTGAGTTTCTTTTGGTGAGTAATAATTTTAGTCAATGATACTACTGATTATTTTATCTTTTTTTAGGCTTATGATGAATACCTGATTTATGATTAGTATGTTTTTCACTTTTACACATTTCAAGGAAGGAAACAAGAACAGACAGAAACACAACATACTTCATGAAACCACATTTTAGCATCCTGGCCGAGTATTCATCACTCAGCAAGATAGAGAGACATAAACTATTTCTAGCAAGAATACTTCATAAATGATGAATAGAAGAAAAATAGAAGTCCTAAAAATCTTGCAGAACTGTCTTAATTTACTAATATATTTACACTGTATCCTAAGTCACTCTCTAGCTTCTTGCTCTAAGCATATGAAATGTAAGAGCTAATGGGAACCCCAGTGCCTGTATAAATAACAAGAACCAGCATGTCTTTATTTATGGCAGGGAATACTCTACAACCTGGGACAGATGCCACTCTGCTTCAGTTTGGGGAAGCTCCTCACTTTACCATCCTGACGTTGAATAAATGATTCAAAGGCAACCTGATGCAACCTGAGCCACTGGATGGCTTCTGTAAATAAAGTTATCTCACCTGCCATTCATTACAGAGAAAACAAGAAATAAGGCACTACATGTCATATTTGTCTAGATCCTATACATATTTAGGTTCACATTAAAATGAAGAGAAAACAACATAGGCTGAGAATCAGAAAACCTGAACTCTGTCCCAGCTCAGCTACTGACCAAAGAGAATTAATGAATCGCTTTAAATGTCAGTTTCTTCATTAAGCATCGTAGAGAATGTCAAAACCAAGTTTACAAATACTGTCATTCCAAAACCACACAACTCAAATATAAATAATCTTTATAAGGTAACAAAAATGTACATAATACTTTACATAAACATTTTTAGAATAACTTTATTATAACTCGATAAGCAAAATAATCCAAACCTTTATACATTTCTACAAGGATAGTCATGTATGTCAATTTTTGGGTTTCCTCTCGTGCCTATTTTGTCTCCTGAGCCGGCCCCTTTCCAGCTGACACATGTGCTCCGTGTTCTCCCACAATAGCCTGATCTGGCCTGAGTCCACGCCCCTGTGAGCCTCCTTTCTTTGCTTACAACAGCAGCCTGCCTGATGTCAGTTATGGACTATTCTTTTTTTCAGCCTCGTTTCAGGGTCCCCTGCCTCTTAGAGCTGCTGCTGTAGCTTAGCTAGAGACCCGCTGCTGTTGCATCATGGAAAAGTGCCACATATGTGCACATGTGAAAGAATACGCAGACCTTCATGTTGTGTTTTAGTTTTAGAAAAAGTCAGAAGTAGCTTCACTTGATTTCAGCTTGTAAAGACATAGGAGGGAGGCAACTGGGAATCACCGTTGCAAAAAGCAAACATCAAAAATCACATTAAAATGCTGAAGTGTTGTGGAGCACAAACCTAGCTTTATTGGATCAAGCATTCGTGAGAGTTCTTCTACTTGCTTTGTTATGCTTTCTATCAGACAGGGCTCATTCTCTGTCTTTTTTTTAACATATTCATTTTTTTCCTTTGGTCTGTTTAGATTATTATCACATCTTATGTTTTAAAACTAGCAAAATATTATGTGTAAGTCATGAAGACAGTGTAAGAAATAATAAAATGAACACTGATGTACACATTACCTGCCTAAGAATAAAAAACTACCCGTATTTTTAGAGTCCTTAACACTGTCCTGTTAATGAGTCCCATTTCTTATCTTTATAATTTTGCCAAAATAAATGCATTAGTAAAGGACATTGAGCATTATTGTTTCACATATTTTTCAGTTTAAACAAATGGAATCACACTGAATATATTTTTCTGAAATTGCTTTTTGGTTCAATATTTAATTTGTAAAATTCATTCTTATGATATGTTTGTCTGTACTTTCTGTGCATTGATTTAGAGTATTCCATCACAGGATAATACTATAATGAGCATTCCATTTTATTAGATTGGGGTTATCCATTTTTTTCTATTACAAAACTAGATGTCCTTTTCTTGTATGAGTCTCCTGGACATAAAAGGTAGATTTTCTCTAAGGTATAAACCCAACATTCAAATAATTGTGTCAAAAGATTTGTATACTGTTGGTTTTACTACGTTAAAATGAACTGTTTTCCAATTTATGCTCCCATGAGAAGTTAAAGGTTCTGGTAGATCTATATTCTCAACAATACTTAATAGTATCAAACGTTTTAACGTTAGTCAACTTGGTTTCTCATTTGAATTGTAATCTGCATTTTTTAGAAGTACTGAATCAAGGTAAGAATCAAGTAATGAAAGACTATTATTTTAGTAAATAAAAATGCTGTAAAGACAATAAAGCAAATGAATGTAATCAAAAGTGGAGACGGGCTACTTCATTCTGATAGTCAAAGATGGCCTTGCTGGTCATCTGAGTTGAGAGGTGGCTAGTAAGACGAGAAGAGATGTTAAGTAGCTGTGGAAGGGGCCTGCTGGCACAGGGCATGCTCCAAAGCCCTGAAAAGAGGCAAACATTCTTTCCCTCTAAATACCTGAACTAAGTAAAAACAGTCCTGGCTTTGCACATTTGAATATGCACAGGTTTAATTAACATAGTTTAGTTAAATAGCACTAGTCTCCCAACAACCTGGTTACAATTTCGGTTACCACCATATGCTAACTGTGAGCAACTGCATAAAATCCAAACTTCATTCCCAGCTCTTAATTCCACAAATGCCTGTGTGAGTAAATAACAGACAAGCATCATGATCAGGGACTGTATTAATCTTGTGGGGATGCTGCAACAAAGTACAAAAAACCGGGTTGCTTAAAACAACAGAAATGTATTGACTCGTAGTTGTGGAGGCTAGAAGTCAAAAATCAATGTGTTGGTAGGTTCATGCTCTCTGCTGGCTCTAGGGGAGAATCCTTCTTCCCCTCTCCTTCCTGTTTGGGTTTGCCAGCCATCCTTGGTGTTGTTTGACCTACAGATATGTCACTGCATTTTCTCAGTGTGTCTTCACATCGTCTTTTTTGTGTGTGTGTCTGGAGCTGTATCCAAATTCTCCTTCACTATAAGACACCAGTTAGTCTATTGGATTAGGACCCACCCTAATGACCTCATTTTAACTTGAGAACCTCTGTAAATGTGCTATTTCCAAATAAGCTGATATTATTTGGAGATATTGGGGATTAGGATTTCAAACATATCTTTTTTGGGGAACACAATTCACTTCCTTCAAAGCCTGCCAGTGACTGATCAATGTGCATCAGCTAGTTCGCACACAGACAGCAAAGTCTGCAATCGTGTTGATTCCTTGTCTCCCAGTGAGAAACCCATGTGACATTTATAAATATGAATAATCAGAAGAAAAAACTTGTCAACAACCATTGATGTGCAGCAAAGAAATAAAAAATGTGATAACCCTGGAAGTGGATTCAAATACAATGTAAATGGAATCATAGAATTGGCTCACCACAGGAAACGCGGCAAGAGGAACTCGGCGCAACGCAGTGTTCTGACATAAATGAGGAACGCAGCTGTGATTAAAAGGATGAAGAAGCCCCAGAGGAAGTGATGCCGGCAAAGACAGCAACAAACTTCATATTAAAGGAACTCTTGTAGATATTGCATGACGTTGACAATGTTAGATGCTGTTCCGAAAACAGCACGACAGTTCACCAAGGCATAGAAACACTGCTGGCTCCTTATCATAAGCTATACGACAAGAGGGAGGCAAGCACTTTTCAAACTGGGCTTGATACACGTCTATAAATAAATAAAGCACTTTAACTGGCTGTTGTTTAATGTTTTAAATTACAGTGTATAAACTAAGTACTGGCCAGGCGTGATGGCTCACTCCTGTAATCCCAGCACTTTGCAAGGCCAAGGTGGACAGATCATGAGGTCAGGAGATCAAGACGATCCTGGGTAACACGGTGAAACCCCACCTTTACTAAAAATACAAAAAATCAGCCAGGTGTAGTGTCACGTGCCTATAGTCCCAGCCACTTGGGACGCTGAGGCAGGAGAATAGCTTGAACCCAGGAGGTGGAGGTTGCAGTGAGCTGAGATCACGCCACTGCATTCCAGCCTGGGCGACAGAGCAAGATTCCATCTCAAAAAAAAAAAAAAGTACTAACTTCACTATGTTTCATTTCCTTATACATTTATAACCAACAGTAAGAGATTTTTAATGTTTTGGCCAAAATTTTTAAATGACACAGAACAGTCGATGTTTCACATGGATTGTTTAGGTCACTTTACAGATCTTCAGCTTGCATAGTGATTTGTATGGCCCTGCACTGCTGTGCAAAGAGAGGACTGTTTGTGTTCTTAACCAGTAAGAAGGAGGGCAAGAAAGAGGTTCTCAGCCAGATATTGCGTATGTAATAAAATGATGGGAGAGGGAATAACACTTTAGATATGAAATGTACCATGTGGGGAAGCTATTTGAACAACAACAAAATAGCTTAATTTAACCCGATGGAGTACACTCAGCCACCTTCTAGATGTCCCTGCTTATTCTTCAAATCTTCTCTTTTGTGGCCCCAAAGAATGATTCACTCTCTGGAGTGAAAAATAACCGTTGCTTTCTTTGCCTGGAACTTTAAACTGAGTTGTGCTGTATCATCCAAACCTACTCAATCCTCTCTTTTCCATTAATCAGTGAGGTCCAAAGGAGCCAAAGACAAATCTCTCCTGTTTTTCTTAGAAATGTAAAGATGTTGCATCTGTAACCACAGGCTGCTTGTAATCCTAAAAGTCAGCGTGATAATGAAATCCAGTGATTAATTTCTGTCTTCTAATCAATAAGTAGACATATCAATTTATAGTATGTTAGAAAGCCTCAACTTCACTGAAACAAAAAGCAAGAGGCTCTGCAAATGTTGGAGTGTGCTAAAGGAAAAGCATGGACTGATGTTTGGGGAAAGGTTGGTCAATGTGATGAGGCCATCTGTGTTTGCTAATAGTGCTTATCAAAATTAGGTTCCTACGCAGAGACAGAGACCAGGAGACAATCCTGTATCCTTCTTGATCCTTATAGTCCAAAGGGATGGCTCCCAAGTCTTTCAGAAAGACATTTCCATGTTGTAGGAGATTTAAAGGGGCAGAGAAAGGGTTTATAACTGCAGGTTATCTGTCTTTTTTTTTTTTTTTTTTCCAGACAGAATCTCACTCTGAGCACAATCTCGGCTCACTGCAACCTCCGCCTCCCAGGTTCAAGAGATTCTCCTGCCTCAGCTTGCTGAGTAGCTGGGATTGCGTGTGTGTGCCATGACGCCCAGCTAATTTTTCTCTTTTTAGTAGAGACAGGGTTTCACCATGTTGGCCAAAATGTTCTCGATCTCTTGACCTCGTGATCTGCCCTCCTCGGCCTCCAAAAGTGCTGGGATAACAGGTGTGAGCCACCACGCCTGGCCATTGCAGGTTTTCTAAAGTTAAACCTCTTAGAAATGGGAGGTCAGGGACCTATAGTCAAGTTTTGGGTGGGACAAACAGTAAATTCTTTTGGCAGAATTGAATGTTCCCAGGCAGGTGCTTTAGAGGGGTATGGGGCATCGTAGGGACGTGGCTCGGAGCTGATAGACACTGTGTTGGAATTTGGCCAAGTCTCTTAGTGTATGTATGAGGAGGAGGGATGTGCAGAAGAAGTTGTTTGTGCCAAGAATTTATGGTTTTCACAGGTTAAGACAGTGGTGCCTGGGATCATCTGCAAGGCATGAGTCAAATGTTGACACAATGATTGTTTGCAGACTCATCTGAGGGCTTAGGCAGATCTGGACCTGTTGATACTGAAGTTTCTGAAGGTAGAGGAAGAAAACATAATGTCTCAATAATATCTGAAGTAGGGGTAGGAAAACAGAGATTTAAGGAGGTGAGATCCCTTAAGGCCTCAGAAAGAAGCTTCACTTCTTGCGCCTCCCTTCAGAGTAAATGGGTCATTAAATTAGTTCTTTGTAACCAACCTGGGAATGATGGTGAAGAAGGGAATAATGAGAGGAAAAACTTTAAATAAGAATGCCTGAGAGATAATACTAGGTCAGTGGGAGAGAAAGAAATTTCCAAGAAGTTGTCATGGGAAAGGGCTCACGAATAATAAATAAAAAATTAGTTATTAATAATATAAATTAATATATGAAAAATAAATAAGACATCTGCCAACAGCCACACTTACAGCACTAGATGGATTTTAACTGAATTAAAACTTGAGTTTTTAATGAATTTTCTACAATCCAAAATTTATTTGTTTAATTTTTGTAACAAAACACCATTTCTTTACTTTTTGCAAAAGTAAAAGTAAAGTGCTATTTGTACTTTTTAAATAAAAACTAATTTTAAAGAAAAAAATAATTAGCTGGACGTGGTGGCAGGAGCCTGTAATCCCAGCTACTGGGGAGGCTGAGGCAGGAGAATTGCGGAGGTTGCAGTGAGCCCAGATGGCCCCACTTCATCCAGCCTGGGTGACAGAGCGAGACTCTGTCTCAAGCTTCTTCAGTACTCACATGTAAACTTCTACTTTCCCCTTCAGATTACAGCAACCATCATGCCAAAGCTATACACTCTCAGGGAATCCCTGTGGATTTCACTGATGACCACTTGACCAACTATTATAAAAATCAAGGCCAGGGGTTCTCAAACTCTCAACATTTGTGTGCTCATCTCCCCTTCACCCAGAGACTCCCCAGGGCTGCTGGGCCACGCTTTGTTTGGTTTGACTGGAACATAGCTCGAAAGGGATGGAAATTTCCAAGAGGTGTTAAGAGACACATAAATATTTCAAAGATTAAAATGAAAGAAATAAAGAAATGGGCATTTGTGAGCTTTGGTCATGAGAATGCAGGCCTCGCAGTACTTAACTACTTCCAAACCCCTGTCCAAAGAGAGGACCAAACGCTAGTGAGGCTTCCGGCAGCACAAGGGTGTCCCGCGGATGACCCCAGCCCTCTTAAAATGACTGCCTGAAAAAGCTCACTTGCAAAGAAAATTTACTGTTTGTTTCAGGCAAAACCTGGTGATGGGCAGGTAGAGCCCCGAATCCCCTCTTAGAACCTTAGAAAGCTTGCAATTATAAATTTTTCTCCACCTTTGAAGTGTAAATCTACATCCCAGAATTGTCTCCTCAAAGACCTGAGAGTTCTCTCTTTGAAATGCAAACATTCAGGAAGCTAACTCTTGCTCTTGTTGCCAGTTCCTGAGGGAGGGGAAAGGCCTAGCTTTGGCGAGCACCTTGTTCCAGCTTGCACCTCTGACTCTTTTATTGCCATGAAAATCAACATGTAGACTTTTTTCAAACCCAATGACAGCCCATTACAATGGAGGCCATAGCAATGGAGGTCTCTACATGCAAAAAAAATGGTGGGACAGTTTCCTGATAACAGGTCAACTTTATTCCAAGGATAAGCATGTCATGAAATTATTGGATGGCAGATTATGCTTATCTATGGTCTTCCTTTTTCTCCTTGGTCTCATCCCAATAACTTACAGATCCTTTAAAGGCAAAGGCCAAATATTCAGCTAAGTTAGGCATACTTTAGATGCCAATGTCAATTTTAGCTATATGGGAGATCCTACTTAAGATATTGAGGACGATCATGTGTGTACAGGGCAAAAAAGATGGGACAAAGAGATAAGAAGGGGATGGGAAATCACACCCTCCCTCCGCACCACAGACCATGACCTGGGGCAGGTCCTCTAACACCAAGCCCACCCAGGCCCCATCTAACAGTATGCCGCATTCTACATGACCTCAGAATTCTTTCGGAATTCCAGCTGAAAAGCTGAAAAGCAATACTATATAGTTGTGGTTTCCAGCTGGCCCATGTTAGTATGTATAGCTTTTCTTCCTCGCCATGAAAGCACTATGGGAGAACGAAGCCCGATGCTGGGCATGCTTTGCCAGGTGGGTGCTGCTGAATCACAGACCTCAGCAACTGTGTTCCGCCTCCACAGAGGCTGGAGATGTTTGTTTCCCCAGTGTGTTCGTATATTTCAGCCAGTTTCATGCACTTTGCCCTCTCAGTTTGCTTCACTTTCTGGCTCAGTGAACCTGACCTGCAAGTCTCCCTGCAGTTTCCCTCAGCAAGTGCTCACTGGGCAGCCCCAACATGTGAGAAACGGCTGTAGGGTGCACAGAGGTGAACTAAATTACTAAAAACTATTACTTTACTAAAATGCTTCCTGGATTCCAAAACTCACCAACTGGGAGAAAGGTCAGACACACACGGAGACAACTCATCTACACAAATGATCATCAGTGATTTAAAGAAGGTACAGCAGAGCGAGACTCCGTCTCAAAAAAAAAAGAAAAAGAACGTACAGGAGATCATGGAATAAGAACAAGAAGAGATTACTTTCCAGGGCTCTCAGAAAGTTTCTAAAAAGAGGTGCCATTGACCCTGACCTTAGCATTGTGATGGAGACATTACAGAGCTGGTAGGAAGGAGAAGAAGAAGGAACGGCTGGAACACACTTGGGGTGAAATGAGCAGCATTTCAGTGTGGGAGCTGCAGACTCAGTTTTGGTGGAAGAGTTAAGAGCCAGGATCTTGTCAGGAATAATTCTGTGTCCAAGTGCAGAATCGTGGTTTGCTCCACTACTGCCAGTAACTCCATTTCTCAATCATGATGGTGATGCTTTTTTTTTTTTTGGCTCCCAATCCCGGAGAGTGGCCATACTGAAGTCACATTACAACAATTAACTTTTCAACTATTAGATGATTAATTTTTACCAAGTAGCAAGAACAGCTGTTTGGCACGTAGCAGTGTGGCATGAGTATCTTGTAAATGAATTAAACAAAATATCTCTCCAACACACACACAGTCATTCTTGCTGCATGTCAGCCTCCACTTCTCCCTCCATTATTTGATGCTGTGAAGCTGAGGCAGCCAGCTTGAGCGAAAGCTTTCAGATCTCACTCCAACAAAGAGCTTTGATTGATTCATTTAGTATAAGGTGTTTTATCTGGCTAGAGAAATCCAAGCTGAGTTTTATTAATTACTAAGAAAAGTATGAAATAGATTAATCTTTGATCAAAACTATGTGTGAAGTAGAAACATATTACACATATGGAGAGCAGTTTTATGGAATAAAAACAATCTATGTGTGGCATAACTGACATTGTCTTTATATTTTTGGGGGGGTGTGTGAGGACGGAGTCTCACTCTGTCGCCAGGCTGGAGTGCAGTGGCACAATCTTGGCTCACTGCAATCTCCACCTCCTTGGTTCAAGCAATTCTCCTGCCGCAGCCTCCTGAGTAGCTGGGATTACAGGTGCCTGCTGCCATGCCCAGCTAATTTTTGTATTTTTAGTAGAGACGGAGTTTCACCATGTTGTCGAGGATGGTTTCAATCTCCTGAATTCATGATCCTCCTGCCTCGGCCTCTCAAACTGCTGGGATTACAGGCGTGAACCACCTTGCCTGGCCTATACATAATTTTTAAAACAGATACAGAATATATAGATAGCTTAACAATTATAAAATTGTATTTATCAAGTAGGTCACGAGGTAAACATTTTACGCTATGCAAAAGGGAGCAAACCTCCGAATTTGTCATGCAGGGTCACTAGTGGAACTCACAGCAACAGGTCTGATAAAGCAGAGGAGGGAACCGGGCTTCCGTGTGCTTTAGAGAGAGTGAAACATGAGGAGTCACAGGCAGAGAAAACTGTTTTTCAGAAAGAAAAGAAAGGGGACATGACAGCCCAGCAGTAGGGTGAAGAGGGCCTCTCCGTGGGTGCCGCTGGCTTGAGCTGCTGTAAGTGGCTGTGCCGGGAACAGAGGATCTGTATAGGAGAATGGGGAAGGGAGTGCTGGAACCGGGGGTGGGCAGGAGCAGCAGTCTGGAGACCAGAATGACCTAGGGTTTCCTCTCATGCTCCCATTCCCAGTGTTTCACGTGTGTAAAGTAGCAAGCATGCATATACTGCTTAGAGGCATCTACACTTAACATACTACACTCATATACAACACTTGCATCGAACAAAGTACACATAGTAGGTGTGGCATGTAATAAGTTACCCTCCTATATTTTCTTCTAAAAGATTTTTAAATATTTGCATCTCAAATTTAAGTCCTTTGTCCATTTAGATCTGGCCTTTGTGTGATAGCGATCCATTTTTGGGATAGAGATCCATTCTGATATTTTCCCATATGGATACCAACTGCTCATACCATGGATTATATAGACCCTTTCTGACTGTTCTGTAATGTTAGCCAGGGCATACATCAAGATTTCACACAAGCATACACTTTCACAATAGCAATTCCTGCTGTGGTAATTATAACTTCACAGTAAATCTGGTACGTGATAGACTCACATAAGCTCCACCTCCCACCTTCACACACTTTAGTCTTCTATGGGATTGTCTTAGTTATACTGGGCCCTTTTATCTTCCGTATAAGCTTTGGAAGCAGTTTAGTGACAATGGTACTCTTGTCTTTTTCTTGATTTTAAAAGGAGTGATTTCGATATTTTTAATCACAAAACATGATAGGTGCTGTAGGTTATTTGTTGACTCCTTTTATCAGGTTAAGGAAATTACCCTTTATTCATAGGTGGAAATATCATGAATTATTTAATTTTTGTAAAATAATTTTATAGGCCTTTTGAGACAATCATATAACTTTTGTCTTTAATTCATTGATAAGGAGATGATTTCAGTAGATTTTCTAACATTGAACTAAATTTGTATTACTAACCGAGCTTGTTCATGGTTTTTATACTTTGCTAGGTATACTTCCTAGTATTTTGTTTACAATATTTGTCTCTGTGTGCATGGATGAGGTACACAATAGCAAGGTTACCCTAGTCTCAAATGAATTGAAGAATGGCCTCTTTTTTCTCCCCTCGCAAATAATTAGTGTAACATTGGAACTACTTGTGACATCATCTGGGCATCCTGTTTTCTTTGTAGAATTATTAATTATCAACTCAATTACTTTAATGGTATGATTTCCATCCAGATTTTCTAATTATTTGAGTCAACTTTAATAAGTTAAATGTATCCAAAAATTTGTTAATCTCACTTATTTACAAATGCATATATTTAATTGTCTTATTACTTAATGAAATAGATCATAAATATAAAAGTGTGTATGTACAGCTTAAGAAGAATATAAAATGAGCATATGTGTCCTTCCTTCAGGTTATGAAATAGAATATTTCCAGTATCTTAGAAACTCCCATTGCCCTTCTACAATGCCACTCACTCCTTCCACAAGAGGTAACCACTATCCCTAACTTCCTGTTAATCATTCCATTGCTTGTCATTACAGACTTGTATATTGTTTAGTTTTGCACATTTGACTTTTTAAATAAGTGAAACTATGTATTGTTTCTTATGATCAGATATGCATACACACAAACATGTATATGTATGTATATATACACACATACACACATTATTTTTAAGAGCAGTTCAAAGTTCACAGCAAAACTGAGCAGCAGGTATAGATTTCCCATATACTCCCTGTCCCCCACACATGCATAGCCTCCCCCATAATAAACATCCCCCACCAGAGTGGTGCATTTGTTACAATTAAAGAACCTACATGATACATCTTATAGTTTGCATTAAGGTTCACACTTGGGCTTGGACAAATTTACAATGACAAGTATTCACTATTAAAATATCATACACGTACTTTCACTGCCTTAAGCATCCTCTGTGCTCTGGTTATTCATCCCTCTCTTCCTCCTAACTCCTGGGAACCACTGATTTTTTTTTCTATTTCTATAGTATTACCTTTTCCAGAAGGTCATAAAGTTGGAAGTGACATACGTAGCCTTTTTAGATTGGCTTCTTTCATTCTGCAATATGCATGTAAGCTTCCACTGTGTCTTTTCATGGCTTGACAGCCATTTATTTTATCATTGAATGGTATTCAGTTGTCTGGATGTAATACAGTTTGTTTAATTATTCACCTACTGAAGGTAATCTTGTCTCCAAATTTTTGCAATTATAAATAAAACGTCCATAAACATCTGTGTGCAGGTTTCTGTGTGGACATAAGTTTTCAACTCCTTTGGGTATATACCAAGAAACAAGATTGCGGGGTCGTATAATAAGAGTGGATTTAGTTTTCTAAGATGCCACAAAACTATTCTCCATTTTGTATTTCCATCAGCACTGAATGAGAGTTCCTGTTGCTTCACATCCTCATCACCATTTGGTGTTGTCAGAGTTCTGGATTTTTGCCATTCTAATATGCATGCAGTAGTATCTCATTGCAGTGCTGTGTTTGAGAATGTGAGTAGCTGCAGTTCATTCACTCTTAGTGCTGCGAGGTACTCTATTATTGGAATATATGATCATTTAGTTACCTATTCCACAATCTACCCATATTGAGAGATAACTGGATTGTTTCCAGGTTTTTAAAATTGTGAACATTCTCATATATCCCTAGGTAAACAAATGCAAGAATTTTTCTGGGGCCTGTAACAGGCTGACTAGATTGCACTAGGTTGTAGTGAAGCCACTGGGTCATAGGGTACATGCATGATCAGCTGTATGAGCTAACATCCGTTTTCCAAATGGCTGTCCTTCTACTTGCATGGGATGAATGCTTCCACGGTTCTTTATCCTTGCCAATACTACACCTTTCAGAACTTCCAAAAAATTTTGTCAATATGTGTGAAAGGGTATCTAATTGTTAATTTTCATTTTCATGATTATTATTAGGTTGAGCACTTTTTCACATGCTTATGGGCTATTTATGCTAACTTCTTGAGGTGTTATTTTTCACTTATTAATTTATAGGAGAGCTTTATATATTCTGGATACTAAACCTGTCTAGGTAACATGTGTTGCAAATATCTCTGCCAAGTTTTGCATATTTTTTTCTCATTGCGGTATCCAATAAACAGAAGTCTTAAATTTTTATGTGATCAAGTTAGTTTTTACTCTTGCCGTTTGTTCTTCTTCCCTATGTAAAGATAAAAGAGATGCTCCACAGTTTTTTTCTAAGAATGTTGAGAAGGTATCTTTATCCATTAAAATATATTTTTAGGTTTGGTCTATGGGATTAAGTTTCAATTTCCTTTTTTCCCCCTTATGGAGACCAGTGGTCCCAGTGTTGCTTATTGTAAAATTTACTATCTTCACTTAACCACAAGAAAAGCTGTGTTACAAAATATGTTTCCAAGTATGTGTGAAAAATATATTTATCTTTATGATTCTACTCAGATTAATTAGCTCTCAGGACTGCTGTGTCCAGAGTTGATTCCTTCTGGTGGGTTCGTGGTGTTGCTGACTTGAAGAATGAAGCCGCCGACCTTCACGGTGAGTGTTACCGCTCTTAAAGATGGCAAGGACCCGAAGAGTGAGCAGTAGCAAGGTTTATTGGGAAGAGCTAAAGAACAAAGCTTCCACAACGGGGAAGAGCACCCACGCAGGTTGCTGCTGCTGGGGTGGGGGTGGGGGGGTGGCCAGGTTTTATTCCCTTATTTGTCACGTTTCTATCCTATCAGAGTGCCCTTTTTTCAATCCTCCCTGTGATTGACTACTTTTAGAATCCTGCCGATTGATGCGTTTTTACAGAGCTTGCTGATTGGTGTGTTTTACAGAGCGCTGATTGGTGTGTTTTACAGAGCATGGATTGGTGCGTTTTACAGAGCGCTGATTGGTACATTTCACAGAACTCGTGAGACAGGTAAGTTCCTGATTGGTGCATTTTACTATCCTCTGGTAAGACAGGAAATTTCCCCAAGTCCCCACTCGACCCAGGAAGTCTGGCTGGCCTCAGCTCTTGCTACCAGAGGCTAATTTCCACCCTGGTATTTCTCAGGCCCATAGATAGTGTGAATTCAAACCCAAACCAATATGGCTATTGTTTTGTATTTAGAAATTATCATACGTTTTTTATTTTTCATTTTTTTGTCTACCCTATTGGGACCAAGACAAGCACATATTTTCACTTTCTTATGGGGGTGGGATTTTCCTAGCCCAGGCACTTAACGTGCTTCTTTTTAGAAATCCTAGATTTATGCAGGAGGCATTTTAGCCTATATTCCTTCCTGCATGGGCATCAGTCTCTGTTTCCTGAATTAGGTGCTCATGGGTCTGGGCCAGTAGGTCCTGGGAGGCACCGCAGGGCAAATGCCAGATGAGACACTCACACCTCTGGATTCAGACTTTTTTTGCTCTTCTAGATATCTGAAAATTTGCCTTACTTTGACTCAGCCCATGCATTAAAGCAGATGCTTTTAAATATTTTATGATGCATGTTTTAGGAAAGGGTCTGTCTGGGTATTTCTTCTTTCGATTTTCATTTTTCATTCAGTTCTTCTTTCACACTATCCTAAGCATTAATCAACTCGCCATTTATGTCAGTACAAAACTTCACTATCCTGTTCATTATCACCATTTCATTTTGTTCTGCATAGGCCAGACTATTTATCTAAAAATGTTTAAAGAAATCTAAGGCCTTAAAGGATTCTTTCTCAAGGACTCTACTGTTTGTATTTAGAGAAATGCTCATTTGTTCCACTGTTTTACTTTCTTCTTGGGTCACGCTCTTTGATGACTGCGATCTTACAGAGGATGACAAAAGAGGGCCCACCCTGAGACAGTAATACCTGCTTGCCCCTTTGGATTTTATTAGTGTTATCAAAATATTAATAAAATGTCAAAAACAAATTACTATCATTAGAATGTGTGCCTCACTTAAAAATTTCTCTCTCTAATAAGAAGTTTTTGTTTCCTAGTTCCTTTGGTACCCTAATGTTTAGGTAAATATTCTCTGAGGAAAGGATGTGGAAGTCATAGCAAAATATATGCTGGACTTGAATGAAAATATCTGTTTCATAAAAGTTAAGCAGGCAACCAAAATTTACCTTTTTTAACCTAAATTATCTAAACATGTATTTACATTTCTGCTTCATTGAAAGATATTTGACATTAAATGTCCCTGAGACAGATTTTGGAATGCCCTCTCCTTCTAAAATATATTTTTTATCTTTTGTGGACTAAACAGTTAGTTAAAAATGAACTTAATGATTGCTAATTACTAAGTTATCTAAACAGTTATTTAAAAATGAACTTAATGATTGCTACTTAGTTATTTATAATGCATTTCAAAATTAACTTTATCATCTAAACCTTTTAACACAAATGTATTAAATTATGAAACAGGGAATTGGCTATTTTTGTTCAAATGTTTATTCTCATCAAACTTAAAATATCACTCAGCTATATGATTAAAAATGAAGGCTTCAGTCATTAAATTATTTCCCAGTTATTTGCGATATTTCTCCATATTAAAGGAACAAACAGTGCCCTTCGAATCTGTTGATAGTTCTATTGATAGTGGCCATCACAAGTTACACATTATCAATAAGGTCAAGGCACAAATAAAATTTCTCCCTTGCTTTTCACTCAAAAACTACAAGTATAGTTCTTTGATAAGATGTCCCAATCATGATTTGTGATGCCAATCATAGAAGGAAAGAGGATGTTGAGAAACAATAAAATAGCTACTTTAAAATGTTCTGTGCCTGAACATTTTGATGGCAATATTGGTCATATTATAAATTTGAAAATATAAATTTTAATCTAGATTGACTTTATTCTACTAGTGATTTTAAGAGCTTTATCCAAGAGAAACACTTACATTTTTATTCCTAATGTTTCTTTAAAAATGTGAAACTCCTTTTTTTTTTTATAATTTTAAAAATTCCTAGATAAGCAGAACATAGAGCCAACTGTTATGTTCTGGTTGTTTTTAATAGGTATATTTATGTTATCCCCCAAATTATAATTTATTAATGTCTAACTTCAGTTAGATGAGTTGATTACTTTTCATACACCATTGACTAAAGGAAACCTAATTTTACACGTAATTCAAGGGGATCTGTGAGTAAGAACATTTTTAAATTAAAGCAACACATGTGCATGGAAAATCATTCAAACAGTTTGATGGCAAAAAAATCAGTGGAAACCAGAAACTTTTTTTTTCCTTCCACAGACCTTGGTCCTGTTTTTCAGAGTTAGGCAGGTTTTATCATACTCTTTTTTTTACTATATGCTATTCTCTTGAACTGTAAATAATATTATATAATCACCTAATTTGTTTTATCAGTTTTAAGTAATATCCCTTGACTTTTTATGAACGATAGAGAATATAGCTCATTTACCCTACTTTCTTTTCTTTTTTCTTTTTTCTTTTTTTTTTTTTTTTTTGAGACGGAGTCTCACTCCCTCACCCAGGCTGGAGTGCAGTGGCGCTATCTCGGCTCACTGCAAGCTCCGCCTCCCGGGTTCACGCCATTCTCCTCCGTCAGCCTCCTGAATAGCTGGGACTACAGGCACCAGCCACCACGCCCGGCTAATTTTTTGTATTTTTAGTAGAGACAGGGTTTCACCGCGTTAGCCAGGATGGTCTTGGTCTCCTGACCTCGTGATCCGCCCGCCTTGGCCTCCCAAAGTGCTGGGATTACAGGCGTGAGCCACTGCACCTAGCCCATTTACCCCACTTTCTTCTTCTAAAACTATATTTCCAATTTAGTCTTTAATATATAATTTTAAGGGATTTTTAAAAATTTGCTTCCTCTAAATAATATACTTACAGTGCTTAATTCTTTGCTTAAATAATATATTGTTTAAATATACAGTCCATCCAATTTGAACAACACTGATTGGCTCAGTAGGATGTGGAGATTAGTGTACAACTTCCCTCCCCTCCAACAGTCCCTGTCATAGCTTTCGACTTGTATCAAATATGGTTCTATACTTATATTTTCACATTTTATGTAAATTACATCCTATTTTGTAATTATAATAAAGTCTGTGCTTTGTTCATAGGTTAATTTTGATCATGGAATCTCAGGTGAATTGACAGCATCATTATTATGTTTTCTTTTTTTTTCAAACCACAGTCGCAGGTGGCATGATTTGATTTGTGTGAAGGCAATGAAATGATACACAGATACACCGAAGCCTCCCAAAAGAATCCTGGTTCCAAGATTCAAGAAGATGGATTAATGTTTTTCCATTAATTGTTGGAATTTATGCCATTTTTTTACTATGTGCCATCAATTTTAAAGCACTTCTGAAAAGAGATAACAATCTACAATAGCTGGCATTTTAAATTCATAAAAATATAGTATTTTCTTCTATTTTTATACATTTATGATGCATTATTTCTTATTTCCCAGGAATTTTACTACCTTTGTTTTGAATGATTAAAAAGGAAACATAGCACCTTTTTTCAACACATCACCAAGATAGCCTAGTTAATATTCTTCTCTTTCTGAAGTAGTTGAATTGGGAGAGACAGCTTGCCAGGCCTGCTGCCACTTGTCAGCATCGCATCCCTACATTCAACCACACTTGCATCTAACGACCGTCTCTTTCATTAAATTTCTTTTGCACCTTTTCTTCCTGAATGAGTGCATGATAGTTAATTTTCCTGTGCACTTGCATGTCTCAAGAAGGTTTTAATTCTTTTTGTATTGCATTAATATTTAAGTTAAGTTTATAATTGCAAAATGATTTATACTCACAACATTGAAGACTCCTTTGTTTTGTTACATCCTGTCAAAATGATGAGAAGACAGATCATCCTTTAGGGAAAAATTGGTTTTGATTGGCATCAGCCTTTCCAACAGCAATGCTGGAGACAAGAATAAAATGAAGTAATATTTTTCAAGGATTAAAAGGAAACAATTTTTAATCCTTGAATTATTTGCAGCCAAAATCTTTTAAATATGAAAGCACAGAAAAAGACATTATAAAGTAAGGCCTCAAAAGTTTTATTTCAAATAAATCCCTTTGAAAATGCCTAGAGGACATACTCCACTAAGAAGAGAAATACACCGTGGTGTTAGAATTGAGGGTTCCAGAATCAATGGTAGTGGTGTTTATCATACCCTAAAACATACATGAAAACATAACATATTGAAAACAACTCCGAGTAAACTTCAGAAAGTACCACCTTAGACAAAGTGCTGTCGTAACAGAGAAAGCAAACCAGAGGTGGCAAGAGGAGGCTAGAGTACTTATTTGGTTTGCTGAGATGATATTAATTTTGACACATGGAGGAAATTGAGAAAATTAACAAAAGTAATGACATAACCACCATTACAATGTTAAAAATTTCCAGATTTCAAACAAATGAAAAATTTTTGATCTATAGAGTGAGAGGTACAAATAGGAAAAAAGACACAGTAAAGTATGAAAAATCATAAATGAGATGACAGAAAGAAGTCATAATGGAACAATAATTACATAAATCAAAGGTTAAGATTGTCAGGTAAAATTTTTAAGTGTCAAAAAACACAATATAACCTATCGAAAATAAATTAGTGGAAAAAATGTAGCAGGAAAATATGAATAAAAAGAGCTAGGTCCAATTTTTGATAAAAATTTGAATTCAAGTTGATAATATCCTAAAGAAGGAAAAGTCTGTAGGCCAATAGAAGAAATAGCAGATGCAGAGGTGTGCTCACAAACATGAGTGCTCATGACACTAGTCATACAAACTCAAATTCCCATTACAGTTGTATACAAACATGATGGCCGACAAGAAGGAAGTTCCTTTAAGCCCACTTGGAGCATTAAGACAAATTTACCATGTGAATCCCTAATTGAACTCTGAGTTACTTCTGTGAAGGAATGAAGAATGATATCATAAATGAATTTCATATAGCACTCAAAGCTCCCCCTCTATATGGTTCCGGATAGACTTGAGTATCCACGGTTCTGGAGTGCAAGGGAGGAGAAAGGAAAGGTGCATTCAGACAAAAAAAAAGTGTACAGAACACACCACGGATATCAGAAGAGGCTGCTCATGGCAAGGCGTGGTGGCTCGTACCTGTAATCCCAGCACTATGGGAGGCCGAGGTGGGTGGATCACCTGAGCTCAGGAGTTCAGGACCAGCCTGGGCAGCAAGGCGAAACCCCATCTCTGCCAAAAATACAACAAAATTAGCTAGGCATAGTGGCACATGGCTGTGGTTCCCATTACTTGGGAGGCTGAGGTGAGAGGATTGCTTGAGCCTGGGAGGCAGAGGTTGCAGTGAGCCCAGATCGTGCCTCTGCACTCCAGCCTGGGCAACAAAGTGAGACCCCGTCTCAAAACAGAACAAAACAAAACAAAAAAAGAGGCTGATCAAGACCAGACTCAGCTCCTAGGCCTTGAACTCCAGTCCCACCTTACACCCTAAGGTTCCTAAAGAATCAGTAACTTAGTTCACCCTACCCCGCTCCTGGCTTCTAGATGTAGCACAAGTTTCTAAACATGCAAACAATGAGGACTATCTATTTTGACAAAATAAGAAGAAATGGAGTCAAGGCAACATATAACAGATATTTTTGCCAGTTTTATTGATTAACAAAGAAAAATTGTATATAGTTAAGGTGTGCAGTGTGATATTTTGATATACATATACATTGTGAAGTGATGATTACCACAATCAAGCTAACATATTCATCACCTCACCTGGTTACCTTTTTATTTGTGTTTGTGTGGTGGAGAATATTTGAGATCTACTCTTTCAGCAAATTTCAAGTATACATTATTATTGACTTTAGTCACTATGCTGTACGTTAGATCTCCAGAACTTATTCATCTTATAACTGAAAGTTTGTACCTTGTGACAAACATTTTTTCTTTTCCCCCAACTCCCAGGCCCTGGTAAGCACTATTTTACTCTCTTACCATGAGTTTGACATTTTTTAAGTATGCATATAAGTGAAATCATGCAGGATATTTCTGTGTGTGTTCCTGGCTTATTTTACTTACCATAATAAACTCCAGGTTTGTCCATCTTGTTACAAATGGCAGTATTTCCTCATTTTTAAAGGCTGAATGATATTCCATTACATATGTGTGTGTGTGTGTGTGTGTGTGTGTAATACATTTAAAACATCCATCTGTCAATGGACACAGGTAGTTTCCATATCTTGGCTGTGTACATAACACTGCAATGAACATGTAAGTATACATATCTCTTTGAGATAGTGATTTTCTTTACTTTGGATATATACCCAGATGGGGATTGCTGGATTATATGGGAGTTCCATTTTTAATTTTTTGAGGAAACTCCATACTGTTGTCACTAATGGCTGTACCAATTTACGTTCCCATCAACTATCAACTAAGCACAAGGGTTTCTTTTTCTCAATATCCGCAGCAACATTTGTTACCTTTTTACTGTTACAATAGCCATCCTAATAGATGTGAAGTGATATCTCATTGTACATTTTCCTGATGATTAGTGATGGCAAACATCCTTTTATTAGTATATACCTATTGTCAATCGTATGTCTTTTAGAAATGTATCTCTTCAGGTCTGATATGCTTTGGCTGTGTCCCCACCCAAATCTCATGTTGAATTGTAGCTCCCATAATTCCCATGTGTTATCGGAGGGACCCAGTAGGAGACAGTTGAATCATGGGAGCAGTTTTCCCCATACTGTTTTTGTGGTAGTAAATAAGCCTCACAAGTTCCGATTGTTTTATAAGCGATTTCCTTTTTCACTTGGCTTTCATTCTGTCTTGCCTGCTGCTGTGTAATATGTGCCTTTAGCCTCCCACCATAAGTAAGGCCTCCCCAGCCTCATGGAACTGTGAGTCCATTAAACCTCTTTTTCTTTATAAATCACACTGTCTTTGGTATGCCTTTATGAGCAGCATGAAAACAGATGAATACAGTAAATTGGTACTGGTAGAGTGGCGTGCTGCTGTAAAGTTATCCAAAAATGTGGAACCAACTTCGGAACTGGGTAAGAGGCAGAGGTTGGAACAGTTTGGAGGGCTCACAGAAAGACAGAAAAACATGAGAAAATTTGGAACTCCCTAGAGACTTGTTGAGTAGCTTTGACCAAAATGCTAATAATGATATGGACAATGAAATTCAGGCTGAGGTTGTCTGAGACGGAGATGAGGAACTTGTTGGGAACTGGAGTAAAGGTAAATCTTGCTATGTTTTAGCAAGGAGACTGGCAGCATTTTGCCCCTGCCCTAGAGATTTGTGGAAATTTGAACGTGAAGGAGATGATTTAGGGTAGCTGGCAGAATAAATTTCTAAGCAGCAAAGCATTCAAGAGGTGACTTGGGTGCTGTTAAAAGCATTCAGCTTTAAAAGGAAACAGCATAAAACTTTGGAAAATTTGCAGCCAAACGATGTGATAGACAAGAAAAACCAATTTTCTGAGGAGAAATTCAAGCCAGCTGCAGAAATTTGCATAAGCAACAAGGACCCAAATGTTCATCCCCAAGACAATGGGGAAAATATCTCCAGGACATGTCAGAGACCTTTGTGGCAGTCCCTCCCATCACAGGCCAGGAGGCCTAAAAGGAAAAAATGGTTTCCTGGGCTGGATTCAGAGGCCCCCTGCTGTGTGCCACTTTGAGACTTGATGCCCTGCATCCCAGCCACTTTAGCCATGGCTAAAAGGGGCCAAGGTACAGCGTGGACTGTGGCTACAGAGGGCGCAAGCCCCAAACCTTGGCAGTTTCACATGGTGTTGAGTCTGTGGGTGCACAGAAGTCAAGAACTGAGGTTTGGGAACCTCTGCCTAGATTTCAGAGGATGTATGGAAACACCTAGATGTCCAGGCAGCATTTTGCTGTGGGGTGCGGGGGGCCCTCATGGAAAACCTCTGCTAGGACAGTGCAGAAGGGAAATGTAGGGTTGAAGCCCCCACAGAGTCCCCACTCGGGTACTGCCTACTGGAGCTGTGAGAAGTAGGCCACCGTCCTCTGGACACCAGAATGGTAGATACACCAACAGCTTGACCATGCACACGGGAAGGCCACAGACAATGCCAGCTCATGAAAGCAACCAGGAGGGGGGATATGTCCTGCAAAGCCACAGGGGTGGAGCTGCCCAAGGCCGTGGGAGCCCACCTCTTGCATAAGTGTGACCTGGATGTGAGACATGGAGTCAAGGGAGTGCATTTTGGCACTTTAAGATTTGACTGGACTGCTGAGTTTTGGATTTGGGGCCTGTAGCCTCTTTGTTTTGGCCAATTTCAACCATTTGGAACAGGTATATTTACCCCCTCCCTGTACCTCCATTGTATCTGGAAAGTAACTGACTTGCTTTTGACTTTATGGGCTCATAGCTGGAAGGGACTTGCCTTGTCTCAGATAAGACTTTGGAGAGTGGACTTTTGAGTTAATGCTGAAATGAGTTAAGATGTTGGGGGACTGTTGGGAAGGCGTAATTTGCTTTCAAATGTGAAGACATGGGATTTGGGAGGAGCCAGGGCAGAATGATATGATTTGGCTGTGTCCCTACCCAAATCTCATCTTGAATTGTAGTTCCCATAATTCCCACATGTTGTGGGAGGGACCTGGCAGAAGACAATTGAATCATGGGGGCAGTTTCTCCCATACTTTTCTCGTGGTAGTAAATAAATCTCACAAGATCTGATTGCTTTATAAGGGGTTTCCCCTTTTGCTTGGCTTTCATCCTGCCTTGCTGGCTGTCATGTAAGACCTGCCTTTCACCTTCCAACTGTGATCATGAGGCCTCCCCACCTATATTGAACTGTGAGTCCATTAAACCTCTTTTTCCTTTATAAATAACCCAGTCTCAGGTATGTCTTTATCAGCAGCATGAAAACAGACTAATACAAGGTCCTTTGGAATCATCTGAGTTCCTAATTTATTTGGATATTAACTTCTTATCAGATATATAGCATGTAAATATTTTCTCCCATTCTTTAGGTTGTCTTTTCATTGTATTGATTGTCTCCTTTGCTGTGCTGAATCTTTTGGTTTAGTCCCATTTGTCTAGTTTTGCTTTTGTTGTCTATACTTTTGGTGTCAAATCTGAAAATTTATTACCAATACCAGTGTCAAGGAGCTTTTCTCCTATATTTATGTCTAAGAGTTTTACAATATTGCTCCTAGGTTGAGGTCTTTTATCAATTTTGAGTCAATTTTTGTATGTAGGGTCAGATAAGGGTTCAGTTTCATTCTTCTGCATGTGGATATCCAGTTTTCCCAACACCATTTATTAAAGAGACTAAACTTTTATCATTGTGTTTTCTTGGCACCAATGCTGAAGATCAATTGATTGTAAAGGCATGGATTTGTTTCTGTGCTCTCTATTCTTTTCCCTTGGCCTACATGTCTGTTTTTATGCCAGTACCATACTATTTTAATTACTATAGCTTTATAATTTAGTTTGGAATAAGGTAATGTGATGCTTCCACTTTTGTTTTTTCTGCTCAATGATGTTTTGACTGTTTGGGGTCTGTTGCACACAGATTTTAGAATTGCTTTTTTCCATTTCTTTGAAAAATGCCACTGAAATTTTGATAGGGGTTGCATTATATCTGTAGATCACACTGAGTAATAGAGATTCTTTTATCTTCAAATTCTTTCATCAGTGTTTTATAGTTTTTGGTATATAGAAATTTTACTTTCTGATTTAAATTTATTCCTAAGTTAATTTTTTGATGCTATTGTAAATGAGATTGTGTTCTTTCAGATGGACTCTCGCTCTGTCACCTAGGCTGGAGTGCAGTGGCGTGATCTCAGCTCACTGCAAGCTCTGCCTCCCAGGTTCACACCATTCTCCTGCCTCAGCCTCCCAAGTACAGGTGGCTGCCACCATGCCCGGCTAATTTTTTGTATTTTTAGTAGAGATGGGGTTTCACTGTGTTAGCCAGGATGGTCTCGATCTCCTAACCTCATGATCCACCTGCCTCAGCTTCCCAAATTGCTGGGATTACAGGCGTGAGCCACCGCGCACAGCCCGAGATTGTTTTCTTAAATTCTTTCTGGGATAGTTCACTGTTAGTATATAGAAATGCAACAGGTTGTTTTTTTTTTTTTTTAATGTCAATTATGTGTTCTGTAAATTTGCTGAATTTGTTTCTTAATTTTAACAAGTTTTCTTTTTGGAGCCTTTAGAATTTTCTCTGTATAAGATCATGTCATCTTGAAATAGACACACTTTCACTTCTTTTCCAATTTGGATGCCTTTTATTTCTTTTTCTTACCTAATTGCTCTGGCTAAGACTTACAGACTTTTTCAGAAACCCCCCAGAGTAATCTAGGGGAGTCCACTGTCACTAGATCTGCTTTATAAGAAACCCTAAAGGGAGTTCCTCAAACTGAAATGCAATAAGACTAATTAGTATCATGAAACCATATGTAGTTATAAAAAGTCACTGGTAACTATACAGTCAAATTCAAAATACTCTTAATACTGTAATGATGCAGTATAATCACTTTAACTTTTAAAAGGTTAAAAGACAAAAAATACTACAAATAAATATAATTACAAAATATACAAAGAAAGAAACTCTGACATCAAAAAACATAAGTGGAGGGGAGTAAAGTGTAGGGTTTTTTTATATGATTGAAGTTAAGTTGTTATCAACTTAAAATAGACCATTATAACTACAATCATGCATTTCTTAATGCAGATATGTTCTGAATAATGCAATTTTGTCATGGTGTGAATATCATAGAGTATACTTACACAAAATTAGATAATACTAGCTAACACACACCCAGGCTATATGGTATAACCTATTGTTTCCAGGCTACAAATCTGTACAGCACTGTACTATACTGAATGCTATAGGCAACTGTAATACAATCATAAGCATTTGTATATCTAATGTATCTAAACATATGAAAGGTACAATAAAAATGTTATAACCTTATGGGACCACCGTTGTATATGTGGCCCATCATTGACCAAAACATCCTTGTGTGGCACACGATAGCATACAATGTTTTATGTAAGCCTCATGATAATCACAAAGACAAACATGTAACAGATACACAAATGAGAATTTTACCACATGTTTAAAAAAGAATTAATACAAAGGCACAGCAAAGAATCAAAGTATACCACTACAGAAAATAATGAAAGTAATCAAATCATGCACAGCAAGAGAGAAATAAAAGAACAAAAAAACTACAAAATGCCTATCAATAGTTACTTTAAATATCAGTGGACCAAATCAGTGAAACAAAAGACACAGAGTGGCTGAATGGATAGTATAACAAGAACCAAATATATGCCACCTATAAGAGACTCACTTCACCTTTAGAGACACACATAGACTGAAAGAGAGGGAACAAAAAAAGACAAAGAGTAGCTATTCTTACAACAAACAAAATAGATTTTAAGTCAAAAACTGTAACAAGAGACAAAGAAAGTCATTATAGAATGATACAAGGGTCAATTCATCAAGAGGATATAACTACTGCAAATATATATTCTCCCAACATTGGAGCACCTAATTATATAAAGCAAATATTAACAAATCTGAAGAGAGAAGTGGACAACAATAATACAATAACAGTAGGGGACTTCCATATCCCACTTTCAACAATGGATTAATCATTCAGACAGATAATCATTAAAGAAACAGCTGACGTGAACTACACTATAGATCAAATGGACCAGACATATACATGACATTCCTTTCCAAAACAGCAAAATACACATTCTTCTCGAGCATACACAGTACATTCTCCAACATAGGTCATATATTAGGCCAGAAAACAAGTCTTAGCAAATTTAAGAATATTGAGATCTCACCAAGTATTCTTTTTGACTACAGTGGCATGAAACTGAAAATTAAAAACAGGAGAAAACTTAGAAAAGTGACAAATATGTGGAAATCAACCAACACACTCCTCAATAACCAGTAGATCAAAGAAAACATCAAAAAAGAAATAAAATAACTTGAGACAAACTAAAATGAAAGCACGACATACTAAAACTTATGAGATGAAGCAAAAGCCATTCTAAGAGAGGGAAGTTTATACAGATAAGTGCTAAATAAAGAAAAAAGATCTCAAATAAACCTCAAAAAATAGAAAAAAAAATCAAGCCCAAAATTAGAAGAAGGAAATAACAAAGATCATAGCAGAAATAAATGAAATAGACTAGAAAAACAATAGAAAAGATCAATGAAATGAAGAGCTGATTTTTTGAAAAGATAATAAAAATTGACCAACCTATCACTAGGCTAAGAAAAAAGAAATCTCAAGTAAATAAAATTAGAACAAAAAAGGAGATATTAAAATTGGTACCATAGAAATACAAAGGATAATAATAGTCTAAACAACTATGTGTCAACAAATTGTTTAACTTAGAATAGAGAAATTTCTAGAAACATACATCCACTAAGACTGAAACATGAAGAAATATAAAATAAAAACAGATAAATAATGAGTAAAAATATTGAGTCAGTAGTCAAAAAGCTCCTGAAAAAGGAAAATCCAAGACAAGATAGCTTAGTGGAGAATTCTACCAAATGTTTGAAGAAGAATTAATACCATTTCTTCACAAACACTTCCAAAAGTTGAAGAGGAGGGAACACTTCCAAACATTTTTTATGAGGCCAGCATTACCCTGATAACAAAGACAGAAAAGAACACTACAAGGATGACAGATATTTTTAAGGTACAAATGATGTATTGCTGGAATTGAAAATACAGGCTTTGTTAGTACAAAGATTTGTGTGTGGATAGATGGATGTGTATTGGTGTGTGCATGCATACATATACAAGCTTACCTTGTTTTATTGCACTTCACTTTATTATGCTTCTCAGATATTGCAGTTTTTACAGGTTGAAGGTTTGTAGCAACCGTGCACCAAGCAAGTCTACCAGTGCCACTTTTCTGGTAGCATGTGCTTATTTTGCACCTCTGTGTTACATCTTTGTAATTCTTGTAGTATTTCAAATGTTTTGTTATTATTATATCTGTTATGGTGATCTGTTATCAGTGATCATTGATATTACTATTGTCATTGTTTTGGGGCATCACAAGCCATGGTCCAAAAGACAATGAGCTTAATTGATACCTATGTGTATTCGAATGGTTCCATCGATCTGCCCTTCCTCCATCTCCCCCTCTCCTCAGGTCTGTTTTCTGAGACACAGCAATATTGAAATTAGGCCAATTAATAACTCTATAAAGGCCTCTGTGTTCAAGTGAAAGTAAGAGTCACACATCTCTTATTATAAATCTAAAGTGAGAAATGATTAAGCTGAGTGAGGAAGGTATGTTAAAAGCCGAGACAGGCCAAAAGGCCCAGGCTGGTCTCGAACGCCTGACCTCAAGCAATCCACCTGCCGCAGCCTCCCAGGTAGCTGAGATTAAAGGCATGAGCCACCATGTCCAGCTTCTATGCATTATTTTAAATGGAGTATTGAAGACTCTATTACTGTAGAACTATTTCTAACTTCAATTCTGTCAATATTTGGGTCACAGGCCTTAATGTTATTACACGCTAGTCTGATGCTCATGGCCAGGACATTTTGTTTTCCTGTTGGACATAAACAATCTCACAGAATATCAACTTCAGAAGGTTAATCTGAGACCGTGATAAGTGCAAACAAAAACAAGGGCACTTTATAATGTTGTCTAAGTGCAGATAAAAAACAAGGTCTTGATGCCACCCACAAAATACTTAATAATCATATTGCTCCTGCTTTCTGACAGCATCCAATCTAAAGTCTTCACTTTCTGAGATCCTGTCCGAAATCAACCAATTAAAGCCCAAATCGTATAATAGTTTCTCTCTAACTCCTCCCACTGAGATGACCCATAGTACCCCATTCCTTGCTGCAATGTAATTACAAGTGTGCTCCTGGTGGTCTTTAACTGAAGGGCACTGACTGGGTACTGGTGAAGTTCCCCGCAGGAACTGAGTCAGACCCCATCTCAGGGCCCTGCAGAAGATAGGTGCCTGCTCTAAGGCGTGGACCCTCGCGACAGCCCTGGCCCGTCTTGACGGGCGAGGGTTACTGTACTTGTCCCAATCGTACAGATGAGAAAGCTCAGACTCAGGGCCAGCAACCCCGGTCCCAGCGGAGCGCCCGGCACGCGCCGACACTTCAGCACCAGTCGCGGTGGCCACCACTGTGCGCGGAGATGGCTGCGACGCGTGCGCAGGTAAAGTCCATCCGTGCCTTGCCTCCCACCGGCGCCTTCCACCGCCTCTGGTTTTGTCCCCGCCAGCGGCTCCGACTCCATCGCGTCCTCTTCCAGTCTAGTGCTTTTTTCCAGATCTCGATCCCAAACTCCCTCCTGCCAGAATCTGGACCCGAATCCACCCATTGCCCATTTTCCGCTGCCGCTGGAGAGAATCTCTGAGGTCCCCAGGACAGCCTGCCTGCACGGAAGAGATGCCTCCTCAGTATGGCCGCCCCCGGAGAGGAGCGATTAAGTGCAGACCCCCATGTTGCTCTTGAGCCTGAGCGGCTTCAGGGAGCCATGTTTGTTACTGGCGGGCGCCGGCCTCACTGAGCATGTGCAGCCCTGGCCGGGCGGCCTCAAAGTTCTGACATCACAGGGCGGTTCCTGAAGTGGACGTAGTTGTAAGAGCTAGTTATTTTAGACAATGCCTCTGGGATCAGGGACTCTAATCTGGAAATAGGTAGTGGGAGAGGTCGGTGATGCTGTCTCGGGGTCAGAGACCTGAGCTATATGGGGTTAGAGAGGGGCCCTGGGCAGGCGAGTCTCTGGGGAGTGTGGTGAGAATCCTTGTGTAAGATGCTGGGAGGAGGTGGGGTCAGGGCTGGGGTCCGTGGGCCGACGGGTTGGGGGATGGCCAGCGTCAGGGATCAGTAGTAGAGATTCTATGTGCCCTGATCGCCAGTAGAGGTTTTAAATACAGAGTATTCATGAGTTTAGCAATGTTATTCGCCTCTCATAATTTAAATAATTTGAAGTTTTCCCCCAGTAACTAGTGTCTTAGAAGTCATGAAAATTTCAGAAAATGACAGGTCTTCTGAGTTCGTGATGGGAGTTGGGCAGCAGTCGCATACGAGCACCTGGAGAGTCCTTGCCAGTTCTTTGGGGATGGGGAGCTCTTAAGACTGCCCTGAGACCGCCCTTTGACCTCATTATGGTCCTTTCTAGATTAAATGCTGTTTTCCATGACCGTCTCTGTTCTTCCCATACGCGAATGGCAGGCATCCAGATCTCCAAGAATAGAGGATTAGGAGAGACTCCACCACCTATGTCCTCACAGTTAATTATCGATTTGTGTCACTTGCCCATTTTCTCACTTCCTGTTTGTGTGTCAAGGAGTATTAATAAATCTTTGCCTATTTAAAGATACTAGCCTTGGATTTTCAAATATTGCATATTTTGACATGTAAAAATGTGTTAGTTTTATTTTTTCAACCGATCTGACCTGTATAGTTGGGCTTGAGGAAGCTTCCTCATTGTACATGTTACTATGGATTTTCTAATATTAACACAGGGTTGTATTTTTTCCATATAACTTTCTATTGAATTTCTTTTTCCATATGATAGGTGGTGAAGGTTTAGCCCAGTAAAGCAGAGAGGTTAAGAGGTTAGACTGGGGGCTCTGGAGCCAGACCTATGTAGATCTGAGTCCTGGCTCTGGCACTTGAAAGCCGTGTGACCTTGGTTAAGATACTTAGCCCCTCTCTGCCAAATGGAGAAATAAGGGCACCTACCCCGTAGGGTAGTTGTGTGAGTACACAAGTTAATACACTTCAATCACTAGCAAGAAAGTGAATGTCAAGCTGTATTTGTTCAGGCAGCCATATGGTAGCCCCACCTCATTAGTAAACTGAGGTATTGAAGTATCTTCTTTTTCTTTCAGAAAATATTTGTCAAGCACCTTCTGTGTTCTAAGAACTGTTCTAGAGCTTTGCATGCTATGGAGGTCTAGAAATTCACATTATGGTGGCAGGTGACAGACAATACAAAGAGGTAAAGCAATTTCATATAGTGATAACCTAGGGAGGCGTGCTAAAAGGAGCCAAGGTGTAGTGGTGACTGGAAGGTGACCAGGGAAACCACTGTAGGGTTTCTAACTGATGAGATCTGTGACAAATCCCTGTGGTCAGCAGCAGGCATTGGATATGTAACTTTATTCTGTCCCATTGATCTTGTAGTCAACCCTGGTCTGTTCTGTATTGTTTTAATTACATAATCTTTGTAATAATCTTTAATACCTGGTGGAGTGCTCTGTTTACTTATTTCTGCATAATTAACCACCCCTAAGCTTAACTTACTCATGGTTCTGCAGGATGACTGCTCTCCATGGTTCTAGGGGTTTCTGCATGGGGCCTCTCACATGTGCTACAGTCAAACATTAGCCGGGGCCACAGTCATCTGAAACTCACTTACACGGCTGACAATTGATGTTGGCTGTTGCCTGGAGAAGACATATGTGGCCTGGTGGAATGGAATGGTGACTAGATTCAAGAAAGAGCTTCCCAGGAGCAAGGCTACCAAGAGACCGAAGTAGAGGCTTCAGTTTCTTTAAAAAAAAAAAAAAAAATCGGGCCAGGTGCGATGGCTCACGCATGTAATCCCAGCACTTTGGGAGGCCAAGGCAGGCAGATCACAAGGTCATGAGATCGAGACCATCCTGGCCAACATAGTGAAACCCGTCTCCAATAAAAAAAAAAAATACAAAAATTAGCTGGGCATGGTGGTGTGTGACGGTAGTCCCAACTACTTGGGAGGCTGAGACAGGAGAATTTCTAGAACCTGGGAGGCGGGGGTTGCAGTGAGCTGAGATTGCACCACTGCACTCAAGACTGGCAATAGAGGGAGACTCCATCTCAAAAAAAAAAAAAAATCCAATAGTAGAATTCCCAGAATGGAATTTATGTCATATTCTATGGATTGAGCAAGTTGCAAGGCAGCCACATTCTAGGGGAAGGGAGCTATTCCTCACCTCTTGAGAAGCAATGTGTGTTGAGGAAGGGAAAGAATTGATGGTAGCTGTCTTTGACTTCTACCATACAGAGCAAGGTCTCCACACTCCTTTCTCCTGTAATAATTTTCCATTTGAAAATTTTCCTTGCAGTTCTCACACCTTTATTATTTCATATAAATTTTACAATCAATTTTTTTCTTGTCTAGATAACCATGCCATTTGGATTAAAATTGCATTACATTGCAACTTTTGAGAAACTATGGGAGGAGAATTGGCAACCTTATAATATTGAATTTGCTCATTAAGGAACATAGTTTCTCTGTTTATTTAGGTGTTATATTTTTCATAATATACATGTTGGTATTTCTACCCAGGCTTTTCTCTTTGTTTTGTCATGTAATGCATGAATGAGACTGCACTGTCTGTGTGATTGGGCAGTTGCCCAAAGTTTAAGGTGTTAACATGCATTAATTCACTTAATCACTTCTCATTTCCTCCTTCCCTCAACCCCTGACAACCATGAATCTGCTTTCTGTCTCTAGATTTGCCTATTCTGGACATTTTATATAAATGTGTCATCCAATATCTGGTCTTTTCTGACTGGCTTCTTTCACTTAGCAGGATTCTACGGTTTATTGAGGTTCATTCATTGTGTAGGCTGTATCAGTACTTCATTCCTGTTTACGGCTGAATAATGTTCCACTGTATGTACATATGTATGTATACCACACTTTGTATATCCATTTATTTACTGGAGGATATCTGGGTTATTTACAGTATATTTCAGGAGTCCCCAAGATCATCCTCCCCCTTGGTATACTGCTCTTTGTATCTTATATGACCTGTGCAGAACTATTTATCTGGAAATTAGGTGATGGTTAACTAAATATAGTTCTTCTAAAGATTCATTTTCCGTTGGTATTACATCCTGAGGAGACCTTAACTCAATCTCCCAATACATTTGATCATCAATATCACTATTACCACATGACTTATTTACATGAGGTACTCAAATCTAACCAGCCATGCCAGTGTTACCCATATTGCATGTTGTGGTAGTAGATGCAGCCCCCTGAAATAAAAGTCAAAAGATGCTGGCACATTCCTGAGGTTCTTCTCAGCCACTAACAATTGGTGTAGTTCATCATCACCTGGAATGACCAAAATGTCTCCCATGGAAATGCAGCTCAGCTCTGTAGGCTTCCATTTAACTTTGTCAGGTTCCGAGGCAGGGCTGGCTTGAGTGGTCTTGTTTCCACTTTGGCTTTGATGAATAATGCTGCTGTGAACATTCAGGTATACGTTTTTGTGTGGTTTCATTTCTTTTAAGTATATATCTTGGAGTGTAATTACTGGATCATATGATAACTCTGTTTTAATTTTTGAGAAACTACCAAAATGTTTTCCAAAACAGACAAGATTTTACATTCCCTCAGCGTTGAATGAAGGTTCTTATCCAGTTTCCTGTTTTTGCTGAGACTTCTTATTGTTTGTCTTTTGAATTTAGTTATCTCGTTGGGGTGAAGTGGTGTATCATTGTGTTTTGATTTGCATTTCCCTAATAATGAATGTTATTGAGCACCTTCTCACATGCTTATTGGCCATTTTTCATCTTTTTGAAGAAATGTCTATTCATCTTTTGCCCATTTTTAAATTGAGTTTTCTTTTTATTGAGTTGTAAGAGTGGTTATATCATCTGGAACATGTGTTCCTTATCAGATATAGGACTTATAAGTTTTTGTCCCATTCTGTGGTTGTCCTTATTTTCTTATGTAACCATTGTATTAGTCTGTTTTCATGCTGCTGATAAACACATACCTGAGACTGGACAATTTACAAAAGAAGGAGTTTTATTGGACTCACAGTTCCAGGTGGCTGGGGAGACCACACAATCATGGTGAAAGATGAAAGGCAAGGAGGAGCAAGTCACGTCTTACATGGATGGCAGCAGGCAAAGAGAGAGCTTGTGCAGGGAAACTCTCATTTTTAAAACCATCAGATCTCCTGAGACTCATTCACTATCATGAGAATAGCACAAGAAAGGCCTGCCCCCATTATTCAGTCACCTTCCACTGGGTTTCTCCGACAACACATGAGAATTCTGGGAGTTACAACTCAAGATGAGATTTAGGTGGGGACACAGCCAAACCATGTCGACTTTGAAACACAGAACTTTTTAATGAAATTGAACTGATCTATTTTTTGTTTTGTTGCTTGAGCTTTTGGTGACTGCTATGGTTTGAAATATGTTCCCACAAAATTCATGTTTGGAATGCTTATATTCCTGTTGGTGGGAATATAAAACCATACATCTGGTATGGAAAACAGTATGGTGATTCCTCAAGAAATTAGAAACAGAATTACCCTATGATCCAGCATTTCCACTTCTGGGTGGAATACCAAAATAATTGAAAGCAGGGTCTCAAAGAAATATCTGTACACCCGTGTTCATAGCAGCATTAGACACAATAGCCAAAAGTGGAAATAATCTAAGCATTCATTGAGGGATGAATGGAAAAACAAAATCTGACATATACATACATACAGTGGAATATTATTCAGCTTCCAAAAGGAAGAAAATTCTGACATATGCTATAACATGGATGCACCTTGAGTACATTATGCTAGGTGAAATAAGCCAGTCACAAAAACAAATACTGCATGATTCCATTTAAATGAGGGGCCTAGAATATCAACTTCATAGACAGAAGTTAGAATGGTGGTTGCCAGGGGCTGGGAGGAGGGGGTAGGGGTTAGGTTTTAATAAATATCATTTCAGTTTTACAAGATGAAGAGAGTTTTGCAGATGGGTTGTGGGCATAATTGTACAACATTATCAATGTATTTAATACCACTGAATTGTACACTTAAAATGGTTAAGATGGTAAATTTTATGTGTGTTTTAACACAATAAAAACTGAAAAAAGGGATATATGTTACCCTAAATAAAAAATTCGTATGCTGAACTCAGAACCCCCAGTACCTAAGAACATGACCTTATTTGGAAATGAGATTGTTGTTAATGTAATTAGTTAAGATGAGGTCATGGTGTAATAGGGTGGGCCCCCTAATCCAGTATGATTTGTGTCTTTATAAAAAAGGGAAATTTGTGCACAGAGATAACACAGGGGATATGCCATATGAAGATGAAGGCAGAATTCTACAAGCCCAGGAATGCCAAAGATTGCCAGCAAACCACCAGAAGCTAGGAGAGAAGTGTGGATTAGATTCTTTCTCACAGCCCTCAGAAGGAACCAGCCCTGCCAAGAACTTGATCTCAGACTTCTAGTCTCCAGAACTGTGAGACAGTGCATTTTGTTCTGTAAGTCAGCCACATGGTTTGTGGCACTTTGTTATGGCAGCCCTAGGAGATGAAGACAATATGCAACATGGTATGTCCATTATAGGACACTGTGGGCTATAAATGTGTTCTTTGGCCTGAAGAAATAAAACTTGGTGGTCCAAGTTGATGTCTTATCATCTGTTCCAGTTCTTTTATGGTATTTTTGGCATTTGAATCTAATGACTATGCAAAGCCCAGTCCAGAGAATGTGTCAGGACCCATTATAGCCTCCCAGGGATACTGGCTTCAGTCTGGTATAATCTACTTGTTAGCTATGAGTGGTGCCTTCCCACTGGGAACCTGCCCCATAGCCACCTGCGGTCTCTGTCTTCCTGCTGTCAGATAGGACAGTTCTTGTTGGCATTTGGTGCCTCTGAGGGTGGAGGAGGGACTTGTTGCTGAGCAGCCCATCCCTGCACGGCTGCAGCTCCCCTGTGTCCACTCCTTCATTAAGCCCAGGTGGCCACCTCAAGGTCACCAGGATATCCACCTACCAGATCTGATCACTGATCCTGGGAGGGGTTCTTCAGGTGGGCATTGACATGACCTACTTTAATGTGCCCTTTAAATTCCTGCAGTGCTGTGCTCCATGTGGGGATCCTTTCACAGCCCAGTTTGCCATTGCCCCTCTTCCTGGTTACATGGCCAGGCCATTGGCCACTGCCCATGAGTCAGTAAAGTAAAAACCGAAATGTAGAAGATCCTATCATTGTTCAATTCTTCCATCCCAGGAAGGAGTGCAACATGTAATTCATCTCACTGGGTTGATTTGTTCTTGCCTTTTTCAATAAGAATTTTCCCATTACTGCTCATGGTGTGCATCCAGGCCACACTGATGCAAGGGGTGGGGTCCCAAGGCCTTGGGCAGCTCTGCCCCATGGCTCTGCAGGGTACTGCCCCAGTGACTGCTTCCATGGGCTGGCATTGAGTGCCTGTGGCTTTTCCAGGCACACAGTGAAAGCTTTCAGTGGATCTACCATTCTCTGGCCTGCAGGACAGTGGCCCTCTTCTCACAGCTCCACTAGGCAGTGCCCCAGTGGGGACATTGAGTGGGGCCTCCAAACCCACATTTCACCTCCAGACTGCTTTAGTAAAGGCTCTCCATGAGGGCTCTGACGCTATAGCAGACTTCCTCCTGGACATCCAGGCATTATCATACAACCTTTACAATCTAGGTGGAAACTCCCAAGCCTCAACTCTTGCCTTCCTTGCACCTGTAAGCTTAAAACCACATGGAAGCCACAAAGGCTTCTTATGGCTGCACCCTCTGATGCAGTGGCCTGAGATGTATCTGGGGCCCTTTTAGCCACAGCTGGAGCTGGAGCAGCTGGGATTCCGGGTGACATGTCCCGAGGCTGTACACAACAGTGGGGTCCTGGGCCTAGGCCACAAAACCATTTTTCCCTCCTAATCTTTCAGGCCTGTGATGGGAAGGGCTACTGTGAAGATCTCTGAAATGTCCTGGAGGCATTTTCCCCATTGTCTTGGCTATTCACATTCTGCTCCTCTTTACTTATGCAAATTCCTGCAGCTGAGTTGAATGTCTTACCAGAAATTTGGTTTTTCTTTTCTACCACATGGTCAGGCTGCAAATTTTCCCATCTTTTATGCTCTGCTTCCCTTTTAAATATAAGTTCCAATTTCAGATCATCTCTTTGTGAATGCATATGAGCATATGCTGTTAGAAGCAGCCAAGTTACATCTTGAATGCTTTGCTGTTTAGAAATTTAGAAATTTCTTCTGCCAGATGCCCTAAATCATCTCAAGTTCGAAGTTCCACAGATCCCTAGAGTAGGAGCACAATGCCACCAATCTCCTTGCTAAATCATAGCAAGAGTGACTGCAAACTCCAGTTCCCAATAAGTTCCTCACCTCCATCTGGGACCACCTCAGCCTGGATTTCACTGTCCATATCACTATATGAGCATTTCGGTCACAACCATTCAGCAAGTCTCTAGGAAGTTCCAAACTTTTCTTCCTGTCTTCTGTTTTTTTGTTTTGTTTTCATTTTTGTTTTTTTCAGATGAAGTCTCACTCTGTTATCCAGGCTGGAATGCAGTGGCACAATCTTGGCTCACTGCAACCTCTGCCTCCTGGGTTCAAATGATCCTCCTACCTCAGCTTCCTGAGTAGCTGGGATTACAGGCATGTGCCATGATGCCCGCCTAACTTTTTTTTGTATTTTTAGTAGAGACAGAGTTTCACCATGTTGGCCTGGCTGGCTTTGAACTCCTGACCTCAAATGATCCACCTGCTTCACCCTTCCAAAGTGCTGGGATTGCAGGCATGAGCTACCATGCCCAGCCATCATCTTCGTGTATTCTTATAAGCCTTCCAAACTGTTCCAACCTCTGCCTATTACCTAAGTCCAAACTCGCTTCCACAGTTTCAGGTATCTTTGTAGCAATGCCCTACTTCTCTGGTACCAATTTTCTGTATTAGTTTGTTCTCACATTGCTATAAAGAACTACTTGAGACTGGGTAATTTATAAAGAAAAAAAGGTTTAATTGGCTCATGGTTCCACAAGCTGTACAGGAAGCATGGCTGAGGAGGCCTAGGGAAACTTACAGTCATGGCGGAAGGTGAAAGGGAAGGAAGCATATCTTCATATGGACAGCAGGAGCGCAGGGGAAGTTACTATACAGTATTAAACAACCAGATCTCATGAGAGCCCTATCACAAGAACAGCAAGGGGGAGGTCCACCCCTATGATTCAATAACTTCCCACCAGGGTCCTCCTCCAACACTGGAAATTACAATTCGACATGACATTTGGCTGGGGACTCAGAGCCAAACCATATCACCAACCCTATAAAGAAAGCGAGGCACTGATGTCACACTGCTGGTGGATCTGAGACTTGATCTCAGGCCAGCCTGATTCCTAAGTGGCGTTCTTACCCTATTGCCTCAGGAGCAGCGAGAGCTCTATGGAGCCTGTACATTGCTAAAGAACAAGTTGAAAGAATTTTATTTCCAACAGTAGGGCTGATAAGGACCAGCTGAAAACAGCTAAAGCTTCTGGAATACATATCAAGAACCTCTTAAAAATGTGTCAATGAGCTACAAAATAAGAGTTCCAAAAAGCTAAAAAAGTTTTAAAATGGAAGTGAAACCCAAAGAAGTAACTAAGGCACTGATGCCACTTTTCACCCTTAAGATATTTGCCTGTCAAACTAAACTTTGCTGTTTTTCACAGCCTGAGGTGGAAAAGGGGCAGCAGAACAGCAGACAAAGCTGAGGGCCTGGCCAAGTGGGAGGGGCTAAAAGGAGACATCATAAAGTGAGATCCAAAAGGACAGACTTAGTGTAAGGGTGAACTATGAATAAACCTGTCCGCCTCCCCCTGTATGCTGCCCTTGACCCCTGCTTCCCTAGGAACAGTGAGGAACATTGGGTATCCTGAGAGAAAACATCTCCCCTGAGAGTTTTATGTGTGTGTGTATATATATATATATATATATATATATATATATATATATATATATATATATATGTATGTATATAGCCCTTTAACTGGTTTGTTCACACAACCTGGGTGGTCTAAAATGTCTCAAGCTTCAAATTTACCGCAATATCAGCTTTTTGGTGCCTTCTAGGTGACTGACAGATGCAAAATGGATTGTCTGTGGAGGAACTCTGAGATACTTTCAAGGAATATAAGTTCACAATAAAAAATCACAAATGTAAAATTGGCAAGAGCCACCAGAAACAATGGACAGAAGGAGCAGGCCTGCAAAAACTTAAGACAGTCAAGTCAGCAAAGACAGTACAAAGTGTGTTTTATACTTAAAGAAACAAAGGAGTTGAAATAACTTGAGCATGAAAATAACCAAATACATTGGGGAAAGTACCAAGTGGAAACGAAATGAAAAGTATCATAATTGAAATGGAAAGTTCAATGGATTGGTTTAACTAACGGTCATCAAAAAGAGAATAATAGATGAAGAAATAAAGAAGTTTTCAGACTCGAAAAAGCTGAATGACTTTACTACCTGCAGAACTGCACTATAAGAAAAGTTAAGGGATGTCCTTCAGGCATAAGGAAAACGATACTAATGGCAGCAGTGTGCCATCTGGAGCAGCCACTGTTATCACGCCAGCTGCAGTGTGGAGGCACAAGTGGTGGTGGCAGGAGTGGCTGTGGGAGCAGCAGTGGTCATGGTGGGTCCCCTGTGCCCTACATCCCTGAGGCAGCTGACTGCACCACCCCAACCCTTGCACAACTGGGCAGGACCCACTGCAGGCCCGGAACCTCCGCCGTGACTTCAACCTCGCTGTCTGCTGCGTCTCAGGAGTCTGTGAGCTGATAGTGCAGCCAGGACTCTTGGGGTGGCCCCAGGAGCATTGGGTTTGTTTGCACGGGGTTGGCTGAGGCCACCAGCCACCCGCACCTTGCCTGCTGCCACTAAGGGGAAAATGCAGACCAGTGGTATGGCCAGGGCTGCATGCTTTATGGAGCCAGAAAGTTGGTAGAGTGGGAGCTTCCCAGGTGCAGCTGCAGCCACCCAAGCTGTGGCTGCTACCAGGGCACTCCTGTGCTCTTGGGAGCCAAGAGTAGGCAGGAGCCCTGCCCTCCCAAGTGCAGCTGCAGCCACCCAAGCTGCAGCTGTGGACCCAGGAATCTCTGTACTCTTGGGGGCCCAGGAATGCACCCCTGTCCCTGCAGGCTAGGAAGTGCCTGCTCCCACTGTCTGTGTTCTCCTCACTGTTAGCATCTGCTCCCGTCACAGTTCACAACCTGGGGCACTGTCTCTCTCTCAGCACTTTCGCATCCCAGCTGCATGTGTGCATGCTTGGAGTAGTGCTGACATGCCAGCCCCTTGGCCCTCTTTGGACTGTGGAGGCTGACAAGCATGGGGAGGAGGCTGAAGTGGGGCTGAGGACAGCTTGGCACTGGCCTGCAGGTACTCCTTGGCATGGATAACGTGGGTGCCATGAACAATGCCAGGAGGCAAACAGGCTCTTGGGTGGAAGGGAGCAGGTTCCCAATGAAGCCCCACCTGCAAGCTGGGGTGGGGATGAAGCCTGGGGGGTGGGCCACCAGTCTTCAGGGAGGAGCTACCCTCTCTGCTGAGAGCTGAAGAGACAACAAGATGACCTGCCTGCAGAGAGGAGCTGCCCTCTCTGCTGAGAGCTCAGTACTCAACAGGACACCCTGGCTATGGAGAGGAGTTACCCACTGCGGGTCTCCTCTGAGCTGTCTTATCTCTCAGTAAAGCTCCTCTTCATCTTGTTCACCTTCCACTTGTCTGCATATATCATTCTTCCTGGTCGCAGGACAAGACCTGGAGACCTGCTGAATGGCGGAGCTAAAATAGCTATAACACAAACAGTGCTGAAACATGACCCTTGTTTGTCACATTGCAAGCAATGAGAAGAGAGAAGAGAAGAGCTGTGGCTCTTCATGGAGCCCAGACCTAGGAACTCTGAGCCAGGGCTGTGACACCCTCTTTAGGGCTCTGTGGGTTCCTGGCATCTCCAAGGTTCTGGGCACCACCACATTTCCTGGTGTCAGCCGTGGAAGCTGCTTATGGTATGCCTGGTCTAGCTGCAGCCTTGCATGGAGCTGGCACCCGTGCCAGTGCCTGAAGCTGCCTGTCCATCGCCTATCCCCCCTCAGCCGGCATGCCTGGCTGTGTGCAGTGGCTGGACCCCATGCTTGCTCACACACCCCTTGCTGCTCTGTGCCTGGCTCACCCTTGGCAGACATGCGATCCAGGCTCATAGTGGGAACTGAGCACAGCCTGCCAGGCTGAGTGGGTGGAACAAGACCAGAGATCCAGAGCAAAACTCGGGCAAAGGCGCCACTGGCCATAGAGGCTTTTGGCTGATGAAGTGATACCCCAAGGATCCCGTAACAATACCAGATGGAAATCTGGATCCACACAAAGAAATGGTCTACACCAGAAATAGTAACATCGTGTATCTATACCAGAAATAGTAACAACATGGATATATACTTTATATTATTTAAACTTCTCTAAAAGATAATTGTTTAGAAAATAAAGTAATATGCAGTTTATAATATATGTAAAAGTAAAATGGATGACAATAAGAGCTTAAAGACTAAAAGGGGAGAAGTTTACTATTCTCAGATTCTTAAACTGTACCTGATGTGATCTACTGTCACCTGAAGGTCGGCCGTGATCCGTTAAAGATGTACACTGTAAACCCTGGAGCCACGACTAAGATAACAAACCAAAAGATTATAGCTATTAAACTAACAAAGGAGATCAAATGGAATCATAAAAATATATTGGGTAAATCCAAAAGAAGACAGAAAAAGACGTAAAAGAGAATAAAGGACAGATGGGATGAGTAGAAAACAATAGCAAGATAAGAGACTCAACCATATTAGGAATTACATTACATTTAAATTGATTTAGAAGACAGGTTGTCAGATTGGATTTTTTTTAAAGTTGGTTGTATTTGGCTTGCAAGAAATGTACTTTATTTATTTACTTATTTTTGGAGATGGAGTTTTGTTCTTGTTGCCCAGGCTGGAGTGCAATGGAGTGGAACAGCGTGATCTCACTGCAACCTCTGCCTCCCAGGTTCAAGCGATTCTCCTGCCTCAGCCTCCCAAATAGCTAGGAATACAGGCCCCTGCCACCACACCCAGATAATTTTTGCATTTTTAGTAGAGACAGAGTTTCACCATCTTGGCCAGGCTGGTCTCAAACTCCTGAAATCAGGTGATCCACCTGCCTTGGCCTCCCAAAGTGCTGGGATTACAGGTGTGAGCTACAACACCTGGCCAAGAAATGTAGTTTAAATATAAAGATGCAAATAGGTTAGATGTAAAAGGATGGAAAAAGATATACCATGCCAAGACTAGTCAAAAGAAAGCTGAGGTGGCTATACGAATGCCAAAATAGACTTCAGAGCAAAGACTATTACCAGGGAATAAAGAGATTATTTCTTACTGATAATGTGGTTAGTTAACGAAGAAGACATAACAAACCTATGTGTTTTTGTACCTAACAACAAAGCTTCAAAACTTATGAAGAAAAGTAATAAAACAATACGTAGAGATAGAGATAACCATCAGAGATTTTAATCCCACTCTCAACACTTCATAGAATAAATAGGCAATAAATCAGCAAGAATGTATTAGACTTGAACAACACCATCAACTAACCTGACCTGATTTATATTTATAGAATACTCCACCCTATAAAAGCAAAATACACATTTTGTCAACTGTGCACGGAATATTTATGGAGATAGACCACATTATAGCCCATTAAAAACCTCAATAAATTAAAAAGTATTCAACTACAAAATATGTTCTCAGGTCACAATGGAATAAAATTAAAAACCAGTAACAGAAAGATCCTTTAAAAATTGGAAATTAACTCACTTCTAAATAACTCATAGGTCAAAGAAGAAATCTAAAGGAATATTAGAAAGTTATTTGAAGTTACTGGAAATAGAAAAACAACATAGAATTTGTCGGTTGTCACTGAAGAAGTACCTGAAGGGAAATTTATGATATTACTATATTAGAAAAGAAGAAGGGTCTCATATCAGCAATCTCAGTTTCTAATTTAAGAATATCGCCCAGGCGCAGTGGCTCATGCCTGTAATCCTAACACTTGGGGAAGATCGAGGTGGACAGGCACCTGAGGTTGGGAGTTCGAGACCAGCCTACCGAACATGGTGAAACTCCGTCTCTACTAAAAATACAAAAATTAGTTGGGTATGGTGGCTGGCACCTGTAATCCCAGCTACTTGGGAGGCTGAGGCAGGAGAGTCACTTGAACCCAGGAGGTGGCGGTTGCAGTGAGCCGAGATTGTGCCACTGCACTCCAGCCTGGGCAACAGAGCAAGACTCTGTCTCAAAATATATATGAGGAAGAGCAAATTAAATCTAAAGTAACCAGCAGAAAAGGAATAATAAAGATCAAAATGGGAATCAGTGAAATAAAAAAAAAGGAAAAAAAATCAATGAATCCAAAAACGTGTTCTTTGGGAAAAATCAATGAAAACGACAAATCTCCAGCTGGATTGATTGGGAAAAAAGAGAAAATTATGAATATAAAAAGGGGATGACTGACATCACTAAAGACCTGGCAGAGGTAGTGCTCATCAGGATTCTCCACTGCAGTTTCTCTTTTCCCCCTCTTCCATACCGTCCTCTTTGGAGAATAAGTCACTGTGTGCAGCCCACACTTAAGGAGTGGGGAGTTATTCTCGCCCTCCTTTGGGATGGAATATATAACATAATTCATTTGAAATCCTGCATGTGAATTTATCTCCTTTCCCTCATTCATTAACTTATTTAATCATTTATTTATATCAGTATGCACTCAAGAATATTTATTTTATCTAATACTGCTCTATTTTGTTGCCCTTTACACACATGGAATCTTCCGTATTGCCACAGGTGCCATCAGATCTCCAGCATTTGCACATACTGTTTCCTCTCTGGGATTCCCACATGCCAGGCATTAGGTCAAGCTCCACGGGACTCCCTGAGATGGATCAGACATAGATCCCACCATGAATACCTCACAGTCCGGCTGGGAAGATGAGACAGGGACCTAACTATCTACAGAACAGAGTCACCAGCTTATAGGTACAAAGGAAGGGCATGGACAGCACAGGACACACCTGCCTACTGCCAGAGGTGTCAGGGGCAGCTTCTGAAGTTGGTGGGTCTCATGGGGCTCAGTGCAGAGGTGTGACCACAGAAAACAGAAAGGAGGCATTCCATGCAGAAGGAAGCTAGAGTGACAGGAGCACACAGTACAGAGGTAGGGAGCATGGTAGGGGACTAAAGACTCGGACCAGCCCCCCATTGGTACATTTTGTGCTAGGTGTCCACACTCAAACATCCTGCAGCTCAGCTCCAACGACTGAAAATTCTGCTAATGAGAATTTCTCTTCTGCGAGCTTTAGGCCTTGGCTGGTTGGACCAGTGGCTGCCTCTTATGTCCCCCACCAGTCGAAGCTCAGTTCCACAGGAAGAGCTTTGTGTTTTGCTCTAAGTAGCAAGGAATCCACTGGTGGGGAGTCCAACAGGGAGTGAGTGAAGGACTTACATTCCATGGGAGGCCTCTGGCTGTGGACACAGAAGGGGCTCTGGGCTAAAGAAGGAAGCTGGGAACCCCTCAAGTAGCAGAAGGACATTGGGGTCATCCCTGAGAGAGGAGACCTAGTGAGAATGAAGTGATGGCCGGGTAAGGTGGGGTGGGAAGGGGAGGGACAGGAGCAGATAGGGAGAGGAGGGAGTAATAGGGGAAGGGAGATGAAGAGAAGGGCAAGGAGGGGAGGGAGTAGATAAGGGACAAGGAGGGAGGAAGAGGGAGGAGAGGAAGATGAGGAAGGGGGAGGGTGAAGATAGGGAAGGGGATGGCCCAGAGGTATTCATTTGAAAGCAGCCCCAGCAGGACTGATTGTAGCAGTGGCTGTCCAGTGAGAGAGAAAGGAAAGAATCAAGAACAAATTCTAGATTTTTGACTTGAGAAACTGGGAGAAAATGGGGACTTTTCCCAACTCAGTGCTTTTCACTGAGAGAAGAAAAGGAAGAGCCATATTTGAGTGTGAAAACAAGAGTCGCCTTTGAGATCTATTAAGTTTAATATGCTTCATTAGGAAGCTCCCTCATTTCCCCCGTAGCATCAACATTCTTTCTAAAACATTTGGAAAGCATTATGATTTTTATTGTAGAGTCCCCCCACCCCAGCGATTTTCTCTACTTTTTTCCTATTCATTGGTCATGGAAGTTGCTTCCAATTTTCAGCTATTGTGAATAATGGGCTCTTTAAAGCATAGAACAGAGCTGGTTTGCAATGAACATTCTGTACACAGGTCTTTGTCAGTATCTCTGAATATTATATTCCTAAAAATTCCCAGAGGTACGATTTGTAGGTCAAAGGCTGTAAATATTTTACAGCTTCTTAATACATATTGCCAAATGATGCTGCAAAAAATGGCACCATGTACATTTTTCAAGAGAAGCATCAAAGGATCTCACTGGTCCTCGCCACCTGGACTATTGTAATGGTCCTGAATTATTGCTAATTAGATGTGCAGAAAATACTATTTTATGTTCATATCTGGATAAAGTACCCATGAGGGTTTTGACTAATGTATAGAGGAGAAGAATCCTTTTTGAGGATTTAGATGTGATTTTACTGAGTTGCAGATGTCTTCTTCCCCACAGTACCTTGGGGGACTGAATACAGGTGTGGAGGCCACCCAGCTTGTATCTGTGTTTACTGTCCTTCTCTGATTGGAAGCCTCCCCGTCTTATTCCATTAGACTTTGCTACTGTTCTCCCACTTAGCTGACCTGTCACCTCTTGCCTGAGAGTCTCAGGGTTAGTAATGGATTTCATGACTGCACACTTTAGTAATGAAGAACTCCATTATCACCGGAAGGGGAGTGATCCTTCTGTGGTGTCTGAGCCAAGACAGGACAACATGGAAGCCCAGCACGTCAAGGTCCAGGAGCGTGTTCAGTGGCTGGGCCTGGGGGCAGGAGGAAGAGAAGAGACAGATGCAGGGACAGCCCCCCCACATCCTGCCCCCACCATGATTACTCATCCTTCTTTGTAGTTACATTACTTCATTGTATTACCTGGAAATAATCTGTCTCCTTGGTTGATGGTCTATTCTTTGAGAGACAGCTTTAGAGGCCGGCAGACCTAAATTCTAATCCTTCTGCCTGATGTTGGGCAAGTCATTTGTGGCTTTGGAGCCTCAGTTCCTAATCCGAAGTGAATCTCACAGTGGCCACCTCCCAGGGATGCTGTGCTAGATGAACTGCCTGAGTTGGGTAGCTGGGCCAGGCTCTAGGTCACTGTGAGATGCTGCAGCTGTGGCTGTACCCTGTTAGTGCTGGGTCTGGAATCCCAGCCTCCAACACAGCTGTGATTAAAGAATGCCTGGAAGGAGCAATGCACGAGGAAGGAGAAGGATGAGAATTTCGAGGTTAGCATCAGATG